>NC_000001.11:233305333-233456848 GCF_000001405.40 Homo sapiens | reverse complement strand
ACCCTGTCTCTGCTAAAAATACAAAAAATTAGCCGGGCATGGTGGCGGGCGCCAGTAGTCCCAGCTACTCGGGAGGCTGAGGCAGGAGAATGGCGTGAACCTGGAAGGCAGAGCTTGCAGTGAGCCAAGATTGCGCCACTGCACTCCAGTCTGGGCAACAGAGCGAGACTCCGTCTCAAAAAAAAAAAAAAAAAACTAATAAGACTGGAGATGGCCAAAAAAAAAAAAAAAACATGAAAACATTGCCAAAGGCACATCAAGAAATATCTGCAAACAGGACAATGCCAAAAGGAAGAAAACTACTCTGTGAGAATCTCACCAAAGTTAGCAACAAGCTCCTGGAAAATTCCAAAATGTAGACAAAAGTTATTACAAGCATAAATTATTTGACAAAAACAGCCTCCACAATCCATAAGAGTTATCAAAGAATGAAAAAATGACTGAAAATATTTATTTTTACCAATTAATTATTTTGGCCTGTTTTTTGTTTGTTTTTACTAAATTATTCTTTCTGTCCATTGCGTGCTGAGGGGAATCAGAAGAAATAGAATTTGGGCAGAGATACAAAGAGTCAGCGGGGAAGGAGGATGATGAGAGGAGGAGAAGCAGAGGAAAAGAAAAAAGAAGTAGACAGGTGTTTACAATGTTAAAAGTGAAGCAAAACTTAGAAGACATTCCATACAAACCCACATACGTACGTAGACTAACTTATTTTGTGATAGAAGCCAAGTCTCTCATTCTGTACTTTCCTCTCGGAGTGGTGTGTGATCTGCAGATACACTTTTCTCTCCATTTTCACCCGACATTTAAGTGGAGACAACTCTCCCATCTCTGCTGTTAGAGACAGTGAGGTTGTCTAGGCACACACTGTTCTAACACAACTGAGGGTTCGAGGCAGTCAGGGCACTGCATGCAAAGTCACCAGCATGTCAGCCCACAAAATTGAACACCCAGAGAAGCTCAGGGCTGACCCCAAAAGAGCCAAAAAGACTTCCTCCCCAAAATGCCTTCTTGCCTCACCCCCCCACCTGCTTTTTTTTTTTTTTAGACAGATTCTCACTCTGTTGCCCAGGCTGGGATGCAGTAGAGTGATTATAGCTCACTGCAGCCTTGAACTGCAGAGCTCAAGGGATCCTCCTGACTCAGCCTTTCACATACCTGGGAGTACAGGTGAACCCTACCACACACAGCAAATTTTTAAAATTTTTTGTAGAGATGGTGTCTCACTATGTTGCTCAGGCTGGTCTCAAACTCCTGGCCTCCAGCAATCTTCCCATCTTCCAAGTGCTGGAATTACAGGCTTGGGCCGCTGCACCCTGCCCTGCTCCATTTATACATGGCAACTCCCACTGTTAAAAATACGCTAACAAAGAACAAGCAAAATGTGACAAGATCATATTTTCACTTCCTTGCATTTCACAAATCGACTACAACCAGCTAAGTGGGACCTCAGAAAAAAATGTGGGCATCACTGTCTGTCCCGCAGCAAGGGCCAACCTTAGCCCATTCATTTGTCCAATAAGTGTGTGTTGAGCACCTACTACCTGCCAAGCCCTGGGGCGAGAGCAATACAGACTATGACCTTTCGAACAAAAGAGACTGGGTCCATGGGGAACGCTGGTGACAGCTGACCTTATGGGAAGGTGCTGCTGAGAACCAGCCCAGGGGAGATTCCAGCGCACAGACGGGCTGTGCCCCACATGTGGGTAAGGGGAGTCTTCTCAAAGAGGGGTGTCAGGAAGCAGGGGCAAACTGCAGTTTGTTCCCCAAGACTAGAGCCAAAAGCCTGTTGTGAGGCCGTTGCAGTGACGCAGCTGGGAGACAGACCATCAGAGCCCCAGCTGCAGCAATGGGTCTGGGAAGAGATTTAAAACACATTATGGGTGGGGAGAAGTAGCAGAGCTTGTGGCAGCCCCCAGGCCAGAAACGGAAAAGACAATTCCAAATATTTAGGGTATCAAAGATTTAACCAACTCAGAATTTAGTGACAATTACTGATTTGCTGCTTGATTTGAGCCAGGCTCATCTGCACGTTTGGGGCCTCTGCTGAGACAGGCTTCTGTCTGCACATGGTTTCTCTTCCTCAAGGAGACCAGCCTGGAGATAATCTCAGTGGAGATTATTGACAGATGACAATTTTCCCTACCTTGTTCAGGAGGCAACAGCATTGCAAGAGGGGAAGAGGGAAGCTGCAATGCCTCTCGAGGCCCCAGCTTAAGACACACACGGCATTCCTGTGCTGTGTTCTGTCAGTCTCAGTGGTCACAGGGCCAGCCCAGATGGACAGGTGGACCAAGAGGTTCCATCTGTACATAGGAGGAATGGCAAAGAATTTATGATCATTTTTAATTATCAGTCAGGATTCAGTAAGGATCTGCAGGTCCTGAGCCACCCACTCTATGTCTGACTTTCCCTCAAAGATACTCGGCTTCCCCCGTGTTTCCACCACTCAGGTGCGCTGTGACCAGGTGGCCTGTATCGTCAATGCCTGCCCCAGTTCAGAACTCCCCCAGGCCTCAAAATGCCAGATTGCCAGTGAGCCAGTGACTCCAGACCCCTCCTAAGGCTGGTTGAATAGGAAAGCAAAACCTTTGCATTCTGTCTGGCCATCAATCCAAGCCCTAACCTGCTTCATTGCTTGGTAGCCTCTTGATTGACTCCCTCTGTTACCCAAAAAAAAAACCGGGGTTCATTTGCCTGGCAAGTAACAAATGCCTCCTTAAGAGAATGCAGGGTTTTTTTAAATCAATTGTTTGTTTGTTTGTTTGAAAGGAGGTCTAATTCTGTCACCCAGGTTAGAGTGCAGTGGTGCAAACTAGTTCACTGAAGCCTTGACCTCCTAGGCTCAAGTGATTCTTTCACCTTGGCCTCCAAAAGTGCTGGGATAACAGGCATGAGCCACTGCACCTGGCCCCATAGGATAATTATTACTTGGTACAAGTAAGGAGTATAAACCAAAAAGTGTCTGAGACAGGTCTCAATCAATTTGGAAGTTTATTTTGCCAAGGTTGGGGACACACCCATGACACAGCCTCGGGAGGTCCTCAGAACATGTACCCAAGGTGGTCTGGCTGCAGCTTGATTTTAGGGAGACATAAGATATCAATCAAGACCTGGTTTGGTCAGGAAAGGTGGAACAACTCTAAGCAGAGGCTTTCAGGTCATAGGTGGACTCAAAGATTTTCTGATGGACAATTGGTTGAAAGAGTGTGTCAAAAGACCTGGAATCAATAGAAGGGAGTGTCTGGATTAAGATAAGGGGTTGTGGAGACCAAAGTTCTTATTTTGCAGATGAAGCTTCCAGGTAGCAGGCCTCAGAAAGAATAGATTGTAAATGCTTGTTATCAGACTTAAAAAGGTACCAGACTCTTAATTTGCTTCTGGATCAGGAAAAAGACCTGGAAAGGGAAGGGGATTCTTTACAGAATGTAGATTTTTCCCCACAAAAGACATCTTTGCAGGGACATTTCAAAGTATATCAAAAAATATATTTTGGGGTAAAATGCTTTGATTTCTTTCAGGGACTGTTATTTTTCATGTTGGTTTCTAATTGCTACAGAGTCTCCTTTTTAAAGTCTCTGTTTTAATGTTAATGCTGGTCATTTGTACCTAAATTCCAAAGAGAGGAGAGTATAATGAGGCAAGTCCAATCACCCATCCCCATCACAGCCTCAACTGGTGTTTCAGGTTAACTTTGGAATACCCTTGGCCAAGAGGGGTCCATCCAGTTGGTTGTGGGAGCTTAGAATTTTATTTTTCGTTCACAGGAGGATGCTGGGGTATGCTCCAAGCCAGTGTCTCCAGGAAGGAAAGTGACAGGAGGGTCTTATGGGGAGATGGAGAGGGGGGAGGGTGTGTCATTGCATGTGGAGGAGGTGTCCCAGTGGCACAGCCACAGTGAGTCATTGAGCCATCACATATGTTGCATGTTATGATAATGAAGCTATAGCTCCTCCCTGGAGTGGAGACTTTAGCATGGTAATGAGGAAACTTCACTTAGGTTTGTCTGTAAATTGCTGGAATCTGTCAGGAGCTGGTTTTCACCAAGTAGGTGACTGCATTCCACACTGGACTTAGGAAGAAACAGACTGCAGGGCAGGAAGCTGTAAAACAGGCTGATTGCTCAAATCGATTAAATTTCTATAATTGCTGGAGATCCTCCCTGTCTGCTTATACCTCCTCTACTTTTGATGATGGAAAAAACAAATTCTGCCAAAATGTATTTAAAGAGGTTTATTCTAAGCCAGTATGAGTGACAGAGGCCTGGACTACACAATCTCAAGAAGTTCTGAGAAAGTGTCCCCAAAGTGGTCAGGTTATGACCTGGTTTTATACATTACAAGGAGATGGGAATTTCAGGTAAAACCACAAATCAGTATGTGGAAGACATACTTTGGTTTGGTCGAAAAAGGCAGGACACCTAAGCAGAAGTTTGCAAGGCATAGGTGAGTTTTAGGAAATCTTTAGTTGACAATTGGTTGAAAGAGTTAAGCTATTGTTTAAAGGCTTGAAATTAGGAGAAAGGAATGCCTGAGTTAAGGTAAGGAGGTTGTGGGGGCCAAGGTTCTTATTATGTAGGTGAAGCCTCATAGGTGGTGGCCCTCAGAGAGAACTGATGGTACATGTTTCTTTTCAGACTTTTAAAAGTGTCAGACTCTCAATCTCTCCTAGATCTGGGAAAGACATAGAAAAGGGAAAGATGGCTGCATTAATGGAGATTATTGATAGATAATAATTTTCCCTACCTCAGTCTGCTGGCCTTGCAGCAGTCATTTCAAAATATGTCAAAGAAATATATTTGAGGGTAAAATATTTTGATTTATCTTATGATCTGCAGTCATGTGATGCTATACCAGAATCAGCTTGGAAAGTAAGCCACATTATATAGGGTTAATAAAATCCCATCTAAAGAGATGTTATGATTTGTAGGGCATGACTCCCCAGACCACTTAGATAGCAATTTGGGCAAGAGAAAAAATAAAAGATCAGAGTTTAGTCCTCACTTTAAATCAATCTCATTTTCCCACATTCCTCCTCAACCCATTCTATACCCATTCCCCTCGTCTGCTAGGAGCACCCCACCTCCATCCCCTGACCTTCAGCCTCCCGCTGCACCTGATTTTTCTCTGTGGACTCCTCTCTTAGTCTCAGACTTCATCGTAATGTTCCTAGTGTGGATACTTGCAATGCTTTTTAACATAACAATGAGGACACCTTGAAGATAAAGGTACTTGTTGACTTGATACAGATACTATAAAGAGAGCCCATTTTAAAAACTCCCCCAAATAATGAGTCATTTTGTAGCTCTTGTAGCATTATATCCTTTAAGATTTTATCCTTTGGTTGTTGCTATTTTTTTTAAATGTATGCAACCCTTTCTTCTGTGAGGATGAAATTTAAAGGCACATAAGAAGATTTTGAAAATTTTATACACTTTGAAGACAAAAAAATCTAAATATATGTTCAAAGCTAAGATAGTTGAGATTGGAGTCAAGGAAAAAGAGAATTTTCCCTTGCATTTATTTGGCATCATAGAAAATAAGCCATTTCACTCAAGTGAATTTTGCAGTCAATGAAAACATAACCCTTTAAGTACTTATTTAAATCATTTCTAATCAGTTAAGGAAAAAATGTATTTCCTTTTTTTCTTAACTGATGTCCTTGAGCCATAGGAAAAATGTATTTTAAATTCAGCCTTTGAATATTTAGGTGAGGTATAGTAATGCTAATTTAATATTTATCCTCCCTGAGTCAGGATCCCAACTGTGATGGCCGGTAGCCCCCAGACTGTGACAGAGGGATTGATATGGGTTGGCTGTGTCCCCACCCAAATCTTATCTTGAACTGTAGCTCTCATAATCCCCATGTGTCAAGGGAGGGACCTGGTGGAAGGTAATCGAATCATGGGGGTGAATCTTTCCTGTGCTGTTCTTATGATAGTGAATAAGTCTCATGAGATCTGATGGTTTTATAAAGGGCAGTTCCCCTGCACATGCTCTTTTGCCTGCCGCCATGTAAGATGTGACTTTGCTCCTCCAATGCCTTCCAACATATTGTGAGGCCTCCCAAGCCATGTGGAACTGTGAGTCCACTGAACTTATTTCCTTTATAAATTACCCAGTCTCAGGTATGTCTTTATTAGCACCATGATGAGAACAGACTAATACTGGGATAATCTGGGGCCAGTAAGGAGCAGCATGCTCTGCAGAAAACAGCACCAGACTACAATCTCAGTTCATGTGCCTAATTGCATAGTTTTAACTTATCTTTTTTTGTCTATTTTTTGAAGCCACAATAGCAAGAATTGATTGTTGTTTTCTCTTTCAATCATACACTATTTGTGCCAGCAAACTAGTCAATTAAATGTGTGTATTATGTAGATGGGCAATTAAAGACTCATTTTATTGAGTCCCTAACAGTCTCTCCTGCTGAATAAGTGCATGGGCTTTTTTTGTTTTTCTTGATGGTGATTAGTTTATCACTCAGATTTCTCCCCTACTTCCTCTTTTTATTTATTTATTTTTTAAATTTTGGGCTTCACAGAGCATTGGTTGCCTAAAGACTGAGATGTGCCTACAATGCTTGTACTTTACCTTGCTCTCAGAGAAAAGATAGATGTACATCTTCCTGTTCTTGGTGCCCTTCTATCCTTTCTCTGAGATTAAGGTAAATTGCAAATATTGTTATCAGTAGTGAATCTCTATGTGCCTGTAGCAACCTCAATTCTCGCCTCCTCAGAAGAAAGAATTCACCTAAGGGGAATAAGGCAGAAAAAGAGACAGAGGCAAGTTTCAGAGCAGGAATGGAAGTTTATTAAAAAGCCTTACCAACATAGTGAAACCCTGTCTCTACTAAAAATACAAAAATTAGCCGGGCATGGTGGTGCATGCCTGTAGACCCAGCTACTCAGGAGACTTGAGGCAGGAGAATCGCTTGAACCTGGGAGGTGAAGGTTGCAGTGAGCCAAGATCATGCCACTGCACTCCAGCCTGGGCAACAGAGTGAGACTTCGTCTTTAAAAAAAAAAAGCGGGGGGAGGGGAGAACAAAAGAAAGCAAAATACACATGGAAGAGGCTCAAGCAGGCATCTTGGAGGTGAAGTGTTCCATTTGACCTTGAACCTAGGATTTTATATGCTGGCCCACTTCCAGCATCTTGTGCCCCTTTCCCTTGGTTGTTCCCTTAGGGTGAGCCACTCACATGCACGGTTTCCTGTTTGCACATGGAAGGTGAGCATGCTCAGTGCGTTCACTGGAGTTGTGTGCATGCTTACCTGAGGCTTTCTTCTCTTTTCCAGTGGAATGCCCCGGGAAGGTCATGCTCTGCCATTTTGCCTCTTAATGGGCATGCTCGAGCCCACTTGCCCAATTCCTGAGATCTTATTGGAAGTTGCCGAGTACCAATTTCAGGTGTTTTTATCTGTTGGGAAACTGCCTTTCCCTGGCACCACCTGCCACCAATTATCATGTTAGAGAGGCAAGTGTAACAACTGCTGGACCATCACCTGATGGTCACCTGACATTCCTGGTGGGTGGGGGGAGCCCTCTCCTGTCCCACTCATGCCTGACTAGCTACCTACTGTAACAGTATAAGCAACTTTGTACCCTGCACTCCTGAGGAAGCCGAAGACGACAGGTAGTACATAGATCTCACTCCTTAGATGGAGAAACTAAGGCATCAACATGTGAGGGGATTTACCATTGACATGATTATTAGCCAGCAACATCAGGAATAGAATTCAGCCCAATATTTGAAAGAATGTTATAAAAACAATTCTTTCTTCCACCAATAGATATTTCCCCTTGAGGCCAGTAACCTGATTATGTATTCCTTTTGGACCCCATAATAAGCAGGACCTACTTCACCAGTTCAGCTCAGTATATGTCTCATCTCCATGGGGCACTCCCCAGTGGGCAATTTGGTCTCACAAGTGAGTTCTTGGCCATCCCCAACAGGAGATGAATTCTCAGGGGAGCTCAGCGGGATGCCATCGAATCTTTGTCTGATCAATTTCCATTGTTCTGATTTTACCCACCTCAACAGCCTTCACATCCTGAGCAAGCTGGCAGCTTTGTGAAGTGGCAGTATCATAGCCAGTGAGGTTTATCCAAGGCACGATTATTGCTAACTGAGCAGGCTTGCCTCATAAGTCCCTCAATAGTCAGAAAATCCACTGGTCATACAAATGTGAGTCTTCTGTTCCTTAATAATTTCTCAAATGAATAAATAAGTTGGTGTTCAGCCTTTTACTATCAGTTCTTTGAGCTTATTAGTCTGCCTCTAAGAGACAGGCGCAAAATTAAATTTCCAAGCTTGTAGGCTGAGGCTGGGCCCGGGAAAGTTGCCAAGAGATGGCGGGCCACCATGTGAGGCCTCTGGGGAAACATCAGGCAATCTCTCCTCTCTGGTGACAATGGACAGCTGCCAAAGGGCAGTTTAAATTTTTTCAGATACCTATGTTCCCTATTTATACTTATATGCTTTTTCTTTCACAGTGCAAATTTCCAAAAGGCAGCAATTATCCCTGATGGATCTTGTAAATCTCGCACAATGCTGAGTGCAAATGTGGGCTTAAATTCTAACTAATGGGCAATTGGTTTTCACTAGAGACCACATTTTGTCTTTCTAGCTGTACTGGCCTAAGAAATAAAATGTTCACATGGCCTTGTAAATACAAATAACCTCAAACAGCTGCAGTAATTTGTATATCAGTATGGAGCTGAGGTCCACAAACCCCACTAGCATTTATGGAGTGGTTTTGGTGTGCACAGATGACAGTTGGGCTCTTTGAAATGGCATAAAATAGAAAAGGGGTAGAGATGAGATATTGATGAGCTACTTTTGGGAGTTGACCGCATAAGGCAGCACTCACTGCCCAGTTCTGTAGAATTCAGACAGAAGTATCACAGAGTCAAGTGTAATACCTGAATAAAGGCCCATGGCTTATTTTTTTTTCCTCTCTTAGTTTGGGAAACTCCAACTATGTGTGGATTTATTTTTTATTTTATTTATTTTTTAAACAGCCTTTGCAAAATATGTGTGTATTTTTAAGGAGTTAAACAACATATGATTATTGTGAATACATTAAATAATAGGGAATCTTTCAAACATGGTTGCTGCTCTCAACAGTCTCTTAGGAATAGGCTTCCTTGTCAGGACACAGACTTATTTATTCTTTTTCTCAGCTGCAGGGTATCTCATGGGAATGAGGGGGTCCTTGGTTACAATGCACAGGGGAATCTCCTGTCCAAAAGTCTGGTCTCCCTCTGTTGTGTGACAGAATTAGAGGCCCACAAGCCTTGATAGGTCTGCATGGCTCTGGCTGGAGGTTATAAGTTTAATGTGGCCCTGGTCAGTAGCAGTCCTGCCTGCTCAGGAGCCTGGCTGCTGTGTCACTGATACAAGAGTGGGGCAGGGAAGTGATGGATAGAGAAAGGTGGGTCCCTGGCTAGGTCTCTACCCCCATGGACCTCGGTGAGGACAGGCACTCCTGCTTTCGTGCTAAAATGTTGCATTTTCCAAGACCACCCTGGCCTACCACACCCCCATCCTGGGCCTATAAAACCCAAGTGCCAGTGGGCAGACACACAGGCTTCCAAATGTTGAGAGCAGCACATCGGCGGAAGAAGACACAAGAGGCTGGATGGTGAGAGGAGGTTTAGGGAGCATGCCAGTGGAAGAACACACTGACAGACACCGGCATGCTGGCAGGCCATCCATCAATGGGACGAGGTGGAGTTTGGCTGGAGCAGTTGGAGAAGAGCCAGAGCCACTGAACGGCCCAACTCCAGGGGAAACCATCTCCCTTCTGGCTCCCCCATAGGCGGAGAGCTACTTCCACTCAATAAAACTTTTCACTCATTCTCCAAGCCCACATGTGATCTGATTCTTCTGGTACACCAAGGCAAGAACCCGGGATACAAGAATCCTGTCCTTGCAACAAGGTACAAGGTCTAATTGAGCTGATTAACATAAGCTCCCTATAGATGGCAAACTGAAAAAGCACCCTGCAACACACGCCCATTGGGGCCTCAGAAGCTGTAAGCATTCACCCCTAGACACTGCTGTGGGGTCGGAGCCCCACAGCCTGCCCATCTGTATGCCCCCCTAGAAGTTTGTGCAGTGGGGCACTGAAGAACTAAGCCACTCCCCCATCGCAGGCCCTATGAGGGGGACAGTGGAATCTTTCCCATTTCATTACCATCATCTGTCCCTTCCTACAGTGGTGACTTCACGTGGCAGAATGATAAAGATGAGAGACTCACACATAAAACAGACCCTTCTGGCTGAAGCAGGAAATCTCCTGCCCTCAGTGACTGCTGACTTTGTGGTTTGGACCTCTTATTTTTCCTTTTAGTCTCTCATTTTTCTATACTTGCTGTACTTTTGTGACCAGTGGCAAATCCATGTGAGCCTGCAGCAAACTTGATCCTTGCCTCCTCAGAGGAGGGAATTCGGCTAAGTGGCAAAAGTAGGTTTAAGACAGAGGGAGACACCAAGGCAAGTTTTGGAGCAGGAGTGAGAGTTTATTAAAAAGTTTTAGAGCAGGAGTGAAAGGAAGCAAAGTACATTTGGAAGAGGGTCAAGCAGGCAACTTGAGATCCAAGGGCCCCATTCAGCCCTTGGCTTGGGGTTTGGTACATTGGCATGGTTTCATGGTTTTCTTTTCTACTCCTGTCATTCTTCCCTTCAGGTGTGTTGTCACTCAACTGCCACATGCGCAGTGTCAGTCAGCACTCGGGATGGTGACTGCATGCGTACTGCATTTACTGAGGTTGTATGTATGCTTTCTAGGGGCGATTTTCCTTTACTGGTGGAATGCCCTCAGAGGAAGGTCATACATCCACCATTTTGCCTCTTAGCGTGCATGGATGGGCCTGATTACCCAACTCTTGAGATATTATCAAAAAGTTGTTGGTCACCATCTTGAGGTGTTTTCTATCTATTGGGAGACCGTCTTCCTCTGGAGCTGGCTGTGACCAATTATCATTTCAGACAGACAGTTTAACAACCAGCTGACCATCTCTTGATGGTTGCCTGACATTCCTGGGGAGGCCCTCTCCTGTCTTGCAAATGTCTGCCTAACTACCTAATCTAACACTTTCATTTACAAACTATCCCTTTGTTCTAATTTTCTACCAAGTTCAATATTAGTAGCTGAAATCTTCTTAGAATTAAATTATTTTCCATTTCCACCTGTTTTTGATTTTGATTTTGACCCCTATTTCCTGCAGACTGTGTATTTGAACTCTCCCTGAGGCCAAAGGACTGACAGCAGAGAGTTCTGCTCTTGCCTCTGTTGCCCTAGAGGGAGGGAAATGGGCTGGTCCAGCTACTGTCTAAAACTAATTTTGAAATCTTCCAACAGTTGGGAATCTAATCAATCAAAACACAACGGGAAACAAAAGCTTTTATCCTTATCCATTTTCAGCAAACGCATTATTTAAAAAACATTCGGTTTCCAGAGCTTCAGACAGAAATCCGTGTAGTTTGGGCAAGCACAATGATAAGCGATTTTCAGATGTTAATTGTAATTATGTTTCCTTTTCACCGAAACCTTCACAAGCAAATTCTGTGAAATCAAATGAAATTTTCAGTAGACTTTTCCAGACTTTTTTTTTCCATGTTGAAAGATGTAATATTTTTCAGCTGTGTTATAGCTCCAGTGAAATTACCTCCAACTGACAAGGTTAATGGAGAACTCATAATCTGTATATTTAATTCTAAGAAAATTTCAGCTGCTAATCCTGAGCTCCACAGGAAATTATAACAAAGACATATCGTTTCTAAGTGAAAGTATAGAAATTTTTTTCTTCTTCTACTTATAATTTAGGTTCCAGGGGTACATATGCAGATTTGTTACATGGGTAAATTGTGTGTCACTGAGGCTTAGTGTATGAATGATCCCATCCCCCAGGTAGTGAGCATAGTACCCAGTAGTTTTTCATTGCTTGCAGGCCTCCCACCCTCTTCTCTCAAGCAGTCCCCAGTGATATTTTTGCCGTCTTTATTTCCATGTCTATTCAACGTTTAGCTCCCAGTTATAAGTGAGAACATGCAGTACATTTGGTTTTCGATTCCTGCATTAATTTGCTTAGGATAATGGCTTCCAGTTGGATCTATGTTACTACAGAGGACATGATTTTATTCCTTTTTATGGCTGCATAGTATTCCATGGTGTATATGCACCACATTTTCTTTATCCAGTCCACCACTGATGGGCTTCTGATTGGTTCCATGTCTTTGCTATTGTAAATAGTGCTGCAATAAACATATGAGTGGTTGTGTCTTTTTGGGAGAGCAATTTATTTTCCTTTGAATATATATCCAGTAATGGCATTACCAAGTTGAATTGCAGTTCTGAATTCTTTGAGAAATCTCCACACTGCTTTCCACAGTGGCTGAATTAATGTATATTTCCACCATCAGTGTATAAGTGTTCCCTTTTCTCTGCAACCTCACCAGCATCTGTTGTTGTTTGAGTTTTTAATAGTAGCCACAGAACTTTTCAAATGTGTGATTAAGGCCAGATGTAGTGGCTCATGCCTGTAATCCCAGTACTCTGGGAGGCTGAGGCTGGCAGATTACTTGAGTCCAGGCGTTCAAGACTAACCTGGGTAACATAGCAAAACCCTGTCTCCACTAAAAATGCAACAAATGAGCCAGGCATGGTGGCACGTGACTGTAGTCCCAGCTACTCAGGAGGCTGAGGTGGGAGAATCACCTGAGCCCAGGGCATTGCGGCTGCACTGAGCCAAGATGGCACCACTACACTCCAGCCTGGGTAACAGAGTGAGGCCCCATCTCAAAAAACAAAAAAAAAAAACGAAAAAGAAAAAAAAAGTGTGATTAAGTCTCCGCTGCTCCCAGTCTCATCTCCAAATCCTTAAACTCATCTTGTACACTAAAGACAAGTGACAATTGGAAGTAATTGTTTGTCACATTTTGTTATCCTAGTCATTGGAAGAAAAGGAAGGCTGTAGAGACAGAGCTGCTTTGGACTTGGCCTTAGCTGGTGCAGGTGCTCTGGCCTATCCCCGGAGAGCTGCTTAGGCTCCGGAGAAGCAGGTGCATGTCAAGGCCCACCAGGCCCATGGTAGTGACATTTATCAGACACTGCCCTTGCAGCCTAGGGGAGCTAGTTTCTTTCAATCCACCCTGGCTGACTGGGGAAGAAAGGACAGGTTGAGGTCATCTGTCATGAGCATGGTATTTGCTCCTCATTGGCTCCCAGAGGCTTTCTGGAGGCTGCCTCTCATGGCCTTTCACTAGGCCAAAGGCATGGGAGGAAGACACCAGAACCAGAGTCAGCATGTGTGCCATTAAGTCCTGACTAGCCACTTACTGTCTGTGAGATTTGGGGCTAAATACCTGAAATCTCTGAGCCTCAAATTCTTCATTCTTAAAATGATGAAAATGTATGCTCTTTTGAAGGATCAGGTGAAGTCATAGAAATGGAACTACTTTATGCATTTTTGAATCCCTTTGTAAATGTCAGATTTGTATAATTGTTGCTAATGAAAGTCTCCTCTGGCAATAGTTCAAAGGCTGCCAACAACTGAGTCATATTTTTGACTTTAATCCAGGATCCTCCTGGCTGGAAGGCTGATTCTGAAGGAAAGCGAGTTTCCTCTGAGGAACTTGGAATAGAAAATTAAATTTATTGAATTAGTCATGTAATGCAGAGTGAAACACCACCCAGGAAGCACTTAACATGCTAGAGCAACCATCTCAAGTTTTCTTCTGATTATTTTAGCCTTAAAATGCTTAGTAGTGGCCAGGTGCGGTGGCTCACACCTGTAATCCCAGCACTTTGGGAGTCCAAGGCGGGTGGATCACAAGGTCAGGAGATCGAGACCATCCTGGCTAACACAGTGAAACCCTGTCTCTACTAAAAATACAAAAAATTAGCCTGGCGTGGTGGTGGGCACCTGTAGTCCCAGCTACTTGGGAGGCCGAGGCGGGAGAATGGCATGAACCTGGGAGGTGGAGCTTGCAGTGAGCCAAGATCACGCCACTGTGCTCCAGCCTGGGCGACAGAGTGAGACCCTGCCTCAAAAAAAAGAAAAAAAAAAAAAAAAAATGCTTAGTAGTGAACCAGGGTCAGGGATAGTGAGAGTTAATATTAAAACAATTTTTGTGGCTGCACCTGTAGTATTTATCTAAAGCATTCTGGCACATGCACATGGACACGTACACAGTATTTGGATGAATATACACAGCATGGAGGAAGAAATGAGCACGTAGATTTGTGTGAAGAGACAGAGGTTAAGGAATGTGATGAATCAGGACCTCTTTATAGCCATGGATGTTTTTCTCTTGGGGAGTTTTCATGTTCTTTCACCCACTTTGGTTTTGGTGGGGAGATACTGCTTTGACAGAACGGGTAGTGAGTGTGTTACCATTCTGAAACCTGGGGCTCGGGGTGACCTACTGTCTTAGAGAAGCGGGGGGGCTTATCACCAGCAAGGGAAGGAAAAAATGGGAAAAGCAAACACATTCTTGAAATGATAGCTTCTGGCAAGTCCCTGGTACATCCCCCAAAACTCCAGATTTTTTTAAGGAAATCCAGGCTTTAGTAAGAAACCAGGAATGTTCTGGAAACATTAAGGGAGGATAAAACCTCTGCTCCCGCTTAACCTCCTTTCACAGCCCTGAGGGAAGAATTGGCTGAGCTAGGCAGACAGATGGGAGAGAGCCAAGAACTAGGATAAGACAGCCAGCATCCTGGACACCACGTTCAACCATATTTACAACTTAAAATGGTGGTAATAAGTAGGTGTCTCCTTTTCAAGTGAACGTGATTTAACCTTCCAGCTTCTGTATGGTATTTGTGGAAAGGGTTATGAATTTAAAGAACTACCTCTATTCTATCTCAGAAACCTGACTCCAGTTTTACCACATTAGGAAGACAGTACAATATTCAAAACTGCATAAAACATGAACAATTCTCACCCTATACTAAATAAATTATCTGAATTTAAGATATTGAAAATGTATTCATCCGCCCATTCAGCAGCTAATTGACCCATGATGTAAAGATGCTTCTAAACTCCTTGGGAAAACAGACAGTTACCAAAACCGTGTGCCAGGTGTTTTGATGAGGGTACAAACATAGTCAAGGTGGAAGGGTCGAGGGAGGACTGGGCAAGGTTTCCCAGAGGAGAGTGTTTCAGCCCTGTACTAAGGCAGACTCACTGAAAGTGCCAGGCTGTGACAAGAGCTTGTGTCAAAACGTAAATCAGTACACTGCTTCCTTCTTCAAGAGAATCTCACTAAAAAAGAGAACGAACTGAAATAAATGGTCTGCTTAGAGATTTAGTTCACTTAGGTTCTGACACAAGCTCATCTTGTCGTAAACCAGTAACAAAGGGTCCTGGCCAGCAGCTGGTGTGTGCACCATACTTTGAGCACTTGTACTAAAAGACAATCAAGAGTCATCCAGGGGAAAGGAAGGAGGGGTGCCCCACAGAGAGAACAGCAGGGGCGAAGGCCTAGAGGCAAGAGAGGGTCTTCCATATTAAGAGAACTGCACAGTAATTCCTCTAGCCCCAGAGGGTGAGAGACCAGAAAGTTCAGCAGGGGCCAAGCTTGTTTTAAATTAAGGAAGCATGGACTGAAAGAAACCTAATTCTTGCCTTCATCACAAGCTCACGTCAGCCTCCCGAGAAAAGCCTTTCCGAAGCAAGCATTCAGCAGAGCTCTTAGCCTTGAGGCCAAAGGCGCCATTCCTTCCACAACTCTTGTTTCAAGGAAGCACAGGAAACCTTGCATTTAAGCAGAGAAACCCGCTAAGATGAGTCCAACAGCGACATCTATAGACCACATCTAAAAGTCTTGGTTTCGGAAAAACCCAATTTCTCTGTTATCGGAGTTATGTGAGTTATCAGAGCAGTGAGAAAGGTTTAGCTGCTTTTCAAGGAAAGAGAAGGAGAGAGAGAAGAGTTAGAGGGTTAGAGTTGCCTTTGTCCACAGTCTTTATCCCTGAGATCAGACATCAAGCAACCTGTGTGCGTATGGAAAAGGGTGTAGGGGTTACTGTTAGGACCACTACCCTTTTTTTTTTTTTTTTTGAGACAGGGTCTCACTCTGTCGCCCTGACTGAAGTGCAGTGGCGCAATCTCAGTTCACTGCAACCTCTGCCTCCCAGGCTCAAGCAATTCTCCTGCCTCAGCCTCCCTAGTAGCTGGGATTACAGGTGCACACCACTACTGCCCGGCTAATTTTTGTATTTTTAGTAGAGATGGGGTTTCACCATGCTGGCCAGGCTGGTCTTGAACTCCTGATCTCAAATAATCCACCTGCCTCAGCCTCCCAAAGTGCTAGGATTACAGGCATGAGCCACCGTGCCCAGCAAGACCACTACCATTTAAAGCTTGACTTAGCTTTAAATCCCTAAACAACCGAGACTCATTTATTAGCTTCTTTCTTGTGGGAACAAAGATATTAAGCCAATGTTGGTTTTCAGGTTCTCTGAGACAGAAGTGGAAAGTCGGGAAGTAAAAACGTACATAAAACAGGCCAGGTGCAGTGGCTCACACGTGTAATCCCAGTGCTTTGGGAGGCCGAGGCAGGAGGATCGCTTGAGGCCAGGACTTGGAGATCAGCCTGGGCAACATAGTGAGACCCTATCTCTATAAAAAATTTTAAAAAACTGGTCAGGTGTGGTGGCTCATGCCTGTAGTCCTAGTTACTCCGGAGGCTGAGGCTGGAGAATCGCTTAAGCCCGGGAATTTAAGTTTACAATGAGCTATGACTGCACCACTGCACTCCAGCATGGGCAACAGAACAAGATTCTGTCCCAAGAAACAAACAAAAAGCACACACAAAAATAAAACAAACCACGTATGGCCCATTGTGCCCAGGTCCAATCCCAGGAATTTCCCCTGGGAACACATCCCGATGAAGCATCTGTGAAAATTAGATGCTTATTTTCTTTTGCCTTCTGACCAACTTGTACATTCTTTGGATTCACGGAACAGTTTTTCTTCAGATGTTGTGAATATGACTCATTGATGCCCTTTCCAAGAATATTCAGCATTAAGTGGGTTTCCCAGGAATTTTTCTTCAGAATCCCAAAAAATAGGACACTGAATTTCTTCTCTTTTCCCTCCCCTTTCTGGCAGCTGTGCTCAGAAGGCAAGGACAGAGCTCTTCAATGTTCATGGGCCTGTGAGCTGCTTCCTGAGATGTGTAGCTTCTACTTAGGCATGGCAGGTAATAGATGGAATATACATATTTTTAAAAAGAAAAGTTAACTGTAGTAAAATGAGACTGTACTTAAAATACAGCCCTGGCCCGGCATGGTGGCTCACGCCTGTAATCCTAACACTTTGGGAGGCTGAGGTGGGAGCATCACTTGAGCTTAGGAGTTTGAGACCAGCCTGGGCAATATAGTGAGACCCCATCTCTACAAAAAAAAATTTTTTAATTAGCCAGGTGTGGTGGCACATTCCTGTAGAACCAGCTACTCGAGAGGCTGAGGTGAGAGGATCACTTGATCTCAGGATGTTAAGGCTGCAGTGAGCCATGATTGCATCACTGCACTCCAGCCTGGGCAACAGAGTGAGACCTTGTCTCAAAATATATATATATAGCCATGTTTCCCACCCATGAGGGCACTGGAGAACGTGCAGATCCAGAGGTGCTGAGATTCTGAGAGGAAATGATACCTTCTCATCCCTTATCTGGTAGAGAAGGACTCCTGGAAGATGAGGCTTTTACACATGACGCTCTCCAAGGACATTAAAGAAACAAAGGTAAGGTCAGAAGAGGCCAGTCTAGAAGGTCAAATTAAGGAGCTTGAGGTCCATTCTGCTTGTGATAGAGACTAGAGTTTTGTGGAGGAAAAGATAAGAGGAACGCATGACATCAGTAATTGTCCTTAAATCACCTGCTGTGTGTTCAGCAACAGGTTGAGCCATCTACACACAGAAACTCAGTTTCTAGGGCTCCTTACCTTCCAGGAGATCATGTATAATTTAGTTCCTGCTGAGTGGAACTTGACTTGACTGAATAGGTCTTTTCCTAGAAATTTCTATGCATATGGAATATTTTGCAACTAAAATTTTCAACAATTTATCCTCAATAATGCCCAGCGCTGTGATGAATACTTCATACAAATTTTTGTTATTATCATACTCACTTAAAAATTTTGGAAATTTGAGCTTTGAAGCTTTTAAATATTGCCCAAGATAAAGTAGTAAATGACATAGAGCTGGAATTCAGACTCCAGTCTTTCCTACTCCAGAAAACTCACTGTTATTAAGACTCTTCTCTGCCTCCAATAAGCATAATTTCAGAAATACATTATCAGCTTTTGGGGCTAACCCTCCCCTGGCAGTGGCTTACAATCCTTTGAAGATCATTTGCCTACCTACTCCTAAGTGAGGTTCTCTGCTCTAAAACAATTCTCATACCTCAGGCTCCCTTGTGGATGTTTGATATGGCTTGGCTCTGTCCCCACCCAAATCTCATCTTGAATTGTAGCTCCCATAATTCCTATGTGTTGTGGGAGGGACCCAGTGGGAGATAATTGAATTATGGGGGCGATATTCCCCATACTGTTCTCGTGGTAGTGAAGTCTCACGAGATTTGATGGTTTTATAAGGAGAAACCCCTTTCACTTGGCTCTCATTCTCTCTCTTGCCCACGCCGTGTGAGAAGTGCCTTTCACCTTTTGCCATGAGTGTGAGGCCTCCCCAGCCATATGGAACCATGAGTCCATTAAACCTCTTTTTCTTTATGAATTACCAGTCTTAGGTTTGTCTTTATCAACAGTGTGGAAATGGACTAATACAATATTTAAAGAAAAGTACAAATTTTAGCCTCATCAGATAACTAGCACCTTATATGCTGGAGATAGAGCTTCGGGACCGCTAATTATTAAATGCTTCACCTTTGAGATCATGCTAAAATCTGTAATCATGTGAGATATAAGTTGATCACACAGCTATCTTCCTCTCTCGAATTTCTTCCAAAAACAACTCACATTAAAAAAACATTTAGAAGTAATGTCCTTTTCTCTTGGTTTTTAGGGGAAAATATATCTAGGTAAGAATCATCTATGTAGGTGATAAGTGATGTAGTACATGGGTGATAAGAAGGCCTTTTTCTTTCTACTTTATGTAAGTTAGTATTAGAGCAATTTGGTATCATGGGAAGAACCCCAGATTAGAGGACAGGAGACCTGCATTTTGTCTCCTGCTCAGCCATCAGTGTGAACTTGTGGCTAGTTGCTTCACTCCCAAGGGCCTTCATTTTCTCATGGATTACATAAGGAGGGAATGGACTACATCATCTCCTAGGGTGTTTTCAGCTCCCCATTCTATCATTGTAAACATCCAATATCAATAAAAATTTTAAGGGTCTTATTAACACAGATCTTTCTCTTAGGTGATAAGTGTCCTATTTGTTTGATGGAAGCCATTTCCCTCCAAGAGTCTGCCATATGCTAATAAGAAAGAGTTTTATTTATTTATTTTTTCCTACCTGGCCACCTGCATTTGCTTTTCAAAGCTGGCAAGAAGAAACACACATGGCAAGTAGCTCTTATGTACCAGGCACTGTGTTAGGCACGTGCATTATGTCTTTGTTTCAAAGATGACGGGTGGAGAGGACCATGTCTAATATAGGTACTCACTCACCTGTGAAATATTTCTTGAGAACATCGGCTGGGTGCGGTGGCTCACGCCTGTAATCCCAGCACTTTGGGAGGCCAAGGCAGGCGAATCACCTGAGGTCAGGAGTTCGAGACCAGCCTGACCAACATGGAGAAACCCTGTCTCTACTAAAAATACAAAAATTAGCCAGTCATGGTGGCACATGCCTGTAATCCCAGCTACTTGGGAGGCGGAGGCAGGAGAATTGCTTGAACCCAGGAGGCAGAGGTTGCAGTGAGCTGATATCCTGCCATTGCACTCCAGCCTGGGCAACAAGAGTAAAACTCTGTCTCAAAAAAAAGGAGAAAGAAATATTTATTGAGAACTTCAAACCTGCTGATGATGTTTTAGGTGCTAGAGATACAGTAGCAAATGAGAGAGACAAAACTATAACGTGACATCATATAAACACCAATTAATCCCACTGATATTTACTGAATGCCTACCATATACCAAATACTGTGCTAGTTGCTGGAGGTACCAGAGTGAACAAATTCCTGATCTCATCAAGTTTTACAGCTCAGCCAACTGAAACAATGAATGGATAACACTTATAGCATAGAGTAATCTGGAAATACCAAAGAGATATGTAATAGAAGGAAACATACCTTTACCTTCACCAAGTCAAACCGTGAGTTAATCAAGCTGCTTGTGATGCTACTAATCTAAAATGATCTCTTTGTTTGGTTACTCAAGTACAGGACTGCTGCCGTTGATCTGGTTGCTTTTAGAATAGAAATTTAGGGGCTGGGCACAGTGGCTTACGCCTTTAATCCCAGCACTTTGGGAGGCAGAGGAGGGCGGATTATGAGGTCAGGAGATCAAGACCATCCTGGCTAACATGGTGAAAACCCGTCTCTACTAAAACTACAAAAACCAGGTGGGCGTGGTGGCAGGTGCCTGTAGTCCCATCTACTCTGGAGGCTGAGGCAGGAGAATCGCTTGAACCCGGGAGGCAAAGGTTGCAGTGAGCCGAGATAGCGCCACTGCACTCCAGCCTGGCGACAGAGCAAGACTCCATCTCAAAATTAAATTAAATTAAATTTAATTTAAAAATATAAATTTAGGTAGGCAATAAGATCTACAGCATCTCCACCTGCATGTCTTCATTTCTCTCCCTCTTCTTTTACAAACGATTTTTTTAATCACTACTCCCCTTCTCTCTTTCTGAGAGAAGCACTGATATACTTATTGTTCAAACCGCATTCCTTGAAATATTGGATTCCAAATAGTCTTGGGTCATCACCAGCACAGCATATTATGAATTACCCACAGGGAGCAAGGTCAAGAAGACAGCATTATCCTCCTTGATTCAGCTCAACTTGAAATTACTGGGAAGTGACCCTATTTTACATTCTCTTCAATCTTCCCAAGATTCTGGAACTGTATATAGTAAAGCCAGATGGTTGATATGCCTGGAAATTTTCCAAGCTCACTCAGGTCTAGATTTATGTAATTGATGGTATTTAAAAAAAGAGAAAAAAAGAGTCTAGTCAGTATTGAGAAAGCCATAAAATTGGAGCATTTCAGTAAATCATAGTGGGCTTGGTAGCCTGACTTCCCCAATTAACAAAATAAGACATTTTAAGAGGTTTGCTGTGGAAAATTCAAATAAGCTCTGAAAACACAGTATTAAATTACATTTATTTCATTATTTTTTATTGAAGGCTCTAAATTAGACTTCAGTTTTAAATACCTAGTTATGAGAATTTTAAATTCAGGACTATGAGAGTTTATACAATTGGGATTGATTCACTTGTGTGCCTTTTTATGTTAATCCAACAAACATATATTGGGTGCTTACAAAAGATAGAACAACTGGCTACAATGTGTAGGAGTTTACCATGAGAACAAGATGTACTTTAGCAGTAGAGGAGGGAAGAGACAGAGACATGAGATGAAGGAAAGTTAGGAGAGGCGGCCCAGGCAGATGTGAGAGTCTGTGCAATAGTCAGAGGTACGAAACCGCATTGCAATTTGAGGGAGCCACAAGTTGGAAATGTGGGGGAATAAGAAAGCAGTGGAAGGCATGGCTCGAAACCCCGGCCGCCACTAATGAAGGCGCTCCACACCAAGCCAATGGAACTACTGCCAAATTCTGTAACTGATAGAAGACACTAATATGTTTTAAATCAAAGGGATACAGGATCAGATTGTGTTTTAGGAAGGTTCATTGTTACCATTATTATTATAAATTTATCATCATATACCTAAGAGTTGATTTTGGGTCTGCTCTATCTTTGAAACTGCCTTTGCAAAAACTGTAACAGACTGGGTGCAGTGGCTCATGCCTGTAATCCTAAAACTTTGGGAGGCCCAGGCAGAAGAATTGCTTGAGTCTAGGAGTTCAAGACCAGCCTGGGCAATGTAGTGAGATCCCATCACTATAAAATATATTTTTTTTAATTAGCTGGACATGGTGGCGCATGCCTGTAGTCCCTGCTCCTCAAGAGGCTGAGGTGGGAGAACTGATTGAGCCCAGGAGGTCGAGGCTGCAGTGAACCATGATTGTGCCACTGCACTCCAGCCTGGGTGAAACAGTGAGACTCTGTCTCAAAAAATAAAAATAAAAAAATTATAACAGTGAGAAAATTATGGCAGTGAAAGAGGTCTGACCTAACCAATCCCCATTATGCCTTTAGCCTTCAAATTGCTCTTAATTATTCTTGGGCTTGGGCCAAGCTAACTTTGGGAGACATTTAGTTTACAGTTTAAATGATAATAGCCCTTCCTCAAAATTCAGCCACCTTTGTAATGAGAGACTACCAGACTAGGAGGATGAGAGGAGCCTGAATTCTGCTAAGGTGTAGACATAAACAATGACCTGTCATTATTCCAGAGGTCACGGATATGCAACTTCCTCAATTACTACTGCAAATGACATCACTATTGTAGAACCTAGAATTGGGCTTTTGAGATGTCTTTTCGGATTTTGCATTTCTGATGACCAATGGCTCCACCTGGACCCACTAACCCCCACCAACCACACCCCCATCCCCTCCACTCCTGTGTGCATGACTCCCTGGCCTGCCAAACTATCCTTGAAAAACCCTAGGCTCCGAAATTTCAGAGAGACTGAGTAATAATAGAATTCCAGTCTCCCTTTCAGCTGGCTCTGCATGAACGAAACTCTTTCTCTATTGCAATTCCCCTGTCATGATAAATCAGCTCTATCTGGGCAGTTACGTCGTCATGTTGATTAACTTTCCCTTAGCAGTAACTTCTCTGACTCTCCACCCCCTGGAAGCTGCAGTGGCCTTGTGCCTTCCTGTCAGTGGTTAACATCTTTAATGCAATCCAAAACCAAAAAGCAAATATATCTATTTAAAATAACTCAAAAGCTTAATGTTTTTGTAAGGCAAAGGATTATCTACTTGATTTTTATCTATTTTATGAATTTTGAGTTTTTTGAATGTGAATTAAAAACCAGTGAAGACATGTTTTCTGGTTTCAAAAGGCAATTACACATGTAATAATGAGTATGTCTACACTAAACTATTAAGCAGACTTTACTGCATCATAGGCTTTTAGCTGATAGAATTGACTCTTTATTTTAAGTGGCATAACCTAAGCTTGAAGGAATTTGTTTGGATAAGGACATCAGACCAGACTGATAAGTGAAATTGGTTAGTGCTGTCTCATCTGGAGGGTTTAACTTCTAAGACATTGGAACATAGATTGGGCCATGGCAATTTGCTACATTTTTTCTCTTTTTCAAAAGCCCAGTGATTCCCAAATAAGAAGATCTTGGCAGCTAATAAATGCCTCACCTATTTGTGATAGCAGACTTCAGGCAATTTTAAACTTTCTAATAAAACGCTTTGCAGATGATCTGGAGAAATTGTGCTTGGCATTGACAAATAAGTGTTATTATCATTCCATGAGGAGCCAGCACAGACCTGGCTGACAACTGATGTTCACTGACTGAATGAGCACAGATTTCCAGGGATTAGAGACTAGTGATATTTGGGCTCTGACAGTCTTTTACTTACGGTGAAAAAAAAAAAAATACAAGAATTAGATAATTAAAGAAAGGAAAAACTGGGAACAGGGACAAGGAAATACCATAGTACCTTGATTCTCAGCCAAAATGTGGGCTTTCATATGCAGAAGAATGAAACTGGACCCATAACTCTCACCATGTACAAAAATTAACTCCAGATGGATTAAAGACTTAAATGTGTGTCCTGAAACCATAAAAATTCTAAAAGAAAACCTAGGGAAAACTCTTGGCCTAGAGTTTGGCCTAGGCAAAGAACTTATGACTAAGACCTCAAAAGTACATGCAATAACAACAATAAAAAAAAAGGCAATGGAACTTAATTAAACTAAAGAGCTTCTGTACAGCAAAAGAAACATCAACAGAGTAAATAGACACCATACAGAATGGGACAAAATATTTGCAAACTATACCTCTAACAAAGGACGAATATCCAGGATCTATAAGGAATTCAAACAAATCAACAAGAAAAAAAAACAAACAACCTCATTAAAAAGTGGGCAAAGGATCTTCTCAAAAGAAGACATACAACCAGCCAACAAATATATGAAAAAATGCTCAACATCACTAATCACCAGAGAAATACAAATACAAGTACAAGAAAGCACCATCTCATATCAGTTAGATTGGCTATTATTAGAAGGTCAAAAAATAAATATGTCAGTGAGGATACAGAGAAATGGAAACACTTACATGCTGTTGGTGGGAATGTAAATTAGCTCAACCCTTATGGAAAACAGCATGGAGATTTCTCAAAGAACTGAAAATAGAGCTATCATTTGGCCCAGGAATCCCACTACTGGGTATCTACCCAAGGAAAAGAAATCATTTTATCAAAAGATACCTGCAATCATAAGTTGATTGCAGCATTATTCACAATAACAAAGTCATGGAATCAACCTAAGTGTTCATCAATGGTTGATTGGATAATGAAAATGTATACACTAAGGAATACTATGCAGCCATAAAAAAGAATGAAATCATGTCCTTTGAAGCAATGGATGAGGCTGGAGGCTATTATCCTAAGTGAAATAACTCAGAAACAGAAAATCAAATACTCTGTGTTCTCACTTATAAATGGGAGCAAACAATGAATATGCAGATGGAGATAATAGATACTGGGGACTTTAGAAGTGGGAAAGTGGGAGGGGGCTCAGGGTTAAAAAGTGGCCCATTGGGTACAATGTTCACTATTTGGGAGATGGTTCACTAAAAGCCCAAAACTCACCATTACGCAATATATCCACATAAGAATCCTGCACATGTACCCCATGAATCTAAAATTGGATTTTTTTTCCAGGCACGGTGACTCATGTGCATAATCCAGCACTTCAGGAGGCTGAGACAGGCGGATCACTTCAGCCTAGGAATTTGATACCAGCCTGGACAACATGGCAAAAACCTCATCTCTACAAAAATTAGCCAGGCATGGTGGTGTGCACCTGTAGTCCCAGCTACTCAGGAGGCAGAGGTGGGGGAATCAATTCAGCCCATGATGGTTGAGGCTGCAAGGAGCCATGATTGTGCCACCGCACTCCAACCTGGATGACAGAGTGAGACCTTGCCTCAAAAACAAACAAACAAACAAACAACAACAACAAACAAATGAACGAACATACAAAAAACATTAATAAAGATTATAAAACCGTCAAAAATAAATAAATAAATGAAATTTGGGCTTCGATATATTATCAAACGTAAGACAATTCCTTACCCAAAATGTAAAATAAAATTCTGTAGCTAGCCCTGATATTCACAGCACGTTATCAATACTTGGAACATTTACCAGCTGGTGAACAGCCGCTCCAACTTTCCCTTTGTTTTTTCTTTCCTCTATGACTTGCTGGTCAATAACATTCTTCTGTAAAGTTCTTCATAGACATTTTCTTTGGCAAGACTGTTCCTCACTTGGCTTTCTTCTACCTCACCTTTCTTTTTTGTCTTATGTTACAGTGGCAACATTTTATGATAGCAACAGTGTGGGTGTGATGGAATTCTGTTTTTTGTTTTTGTTTTTGTTTTTGTTTTTGTTTTCGAGACAGAGTCTCACTCTGTCGCTCAGGCTGGAGTGCAGTGGCACGATCTCGGCTCACTGCAACCTCTGCCTCCTGGGTATAAGGGATTCTCCTGTCTCAGTCTCCCAAGTAGCTGGGATTACAGGCACACACCACCACATCCAGCTAATGTTTGTATTTTTAATAGAGACAGGGTTTCGCCATGTTGGCCAGGCTTGTCTCGAATTTCTGACCTCAGGTGATCCACCTACCTCAGCCTCCCAAAGGGCTGGGATTACAGGCATGAGCCACTGTGCCCTGCCAGGTGTGATGGAATTCTAATCTCTCATTAAATAGTGCTTTTGGTGTTTAAAAAAAAAAAAAGAAAAGAAAAAAATCAACATTAAGACAAAGACAGGCTTTCTGGTTTCTCATTTTGATACTTTTATAAATATTCTCTACTAAAGCAGGCATTTAATAGACGACACCCTGCCAAGGTTTGTCTTCAACTCCTAGTTCCTTTAATATCACAGTGATGAGTAAAATTAAAATAAAATTATTAGAATAAAAATGTCACCTCAATAATTGAGTATAGAAGAGGAAAAATTATGCCACAAACCCATCTTTGTATGTTAATGATTTGAAGGATAAAAAGTAACTTATCTGTGGATAAGTGGATGTGTTAATTTCTTCAAGTAATGGAGCTATGCTTTAGCTATTGGGAGATGGAAGATATCAGAGCTATTTGTTTTCTGCTTATGACAATGCTGGGTTAACCTGATTGAAATTAACAGTCTTGCTAAGAAAACAACACAAACTGTAATTTTAAAAACCTAACAAGGATTTGAAAATAAAATTATACACCAATCACCCTTACTTACATTGTTGCAAAAATCTTAAATAAACTATCAGCTAGTCAAGTCCAGTGCTATATAAAAAGAAAAATACATCATGACCAAATTAGTTTATTCTGAAGTTGCAAACATGGTATAATATTAAAAAAAACTATCAATGTGATTTTCACGTTAACAGAAAAAAAGGAGGAAAAATGGTGCATTTATCTTAAATAAAAAAATCTTTTGGTAAACTACAACACCTGTTTTGGAATCAAACTAGGAAAAGAAGGGAAATTCCTTAATCTGATCAAAGATATCAACAAAAACTTACAGTGAATATCATTTGTAATAATGAAGGTTTTTTTTTGTTTTTGTTTGTTTGTTTTTGAGACAGAGTCTTGCTCTGTTGCTCAGGCTGGAGTACAGTGGTGCGATCTCAGCTCATTGCAACCTCCGCCTCCCAGGTTCAAGCGATTCTCCTGTCTCAGCCTCCTGAGCAGCTGGGATTACAGGCGCCTGCCACCACCCTTGGCTAATTTTCGTATTTTTAGTAGAGATGGGGTTTCACCATGTTGGCCAGGCTGGTCTCAAACTCCCGACCTCAAGTGATGACCTGCCCACCTCAGCCTCCCAAAGTGCTGGGATTACAGGCATGAGCCACCATGCCTGGCTATAAAGATGAGTTTTTAAAAGCTTTTCACTTTTCTACCTTTTGCACCTTGATCAGGAACAAGACAAGATTACATATCTGCACCACTGCTATTCAACATTGTCCTGGAGTATTAATGACTTTAACAAGTCAACAAAAATATGTAACAGAATAAATACTGGAAATGAAAAATATTATCATGATCATTTTAATAGCATATCCAAAAATTCTACAGATAATTATAGTTTACAAATGATGTTAATAAATCATTGTATTCTTATTCAATATAGAAAGCAATTCTATTTCTGCATACCAATAACAAAAGAAAGAAATTTAAATACCACTTACAATAGTATAAAATATCATCAAATGCCTAAGAATATATAGACGTAATCTCAACACTGAAAACTTCCAAACATCATTGATAGAAATTAAAGAAAACTTAAATAAATATAGGAACTTGTTATGTTTGTAGATCAGAAGACTCAAAGTTGTAAAGATGTCAACTATTCACAAATTGATGTAAATCCAAAGCAATCCCAACTTTAAAAGATCCCACAACGTGTGTGTGTTTGTGTATGTGTGTGTGTGTGTGTGTCTCAAAACTGGGAAGCTGATTCTAATATTTATATGAAAATAGAGAGAGTTGAGAATAATAAAAAAAGAACAAAACCTAATTTATAATTCCTATAAGATATTAAAACTTATTTTAAGCTACAGTAATTAACTCTTACTAGTGGAAGGGTAAACAAATAGAACAAACTAGACTTCAGAAACATATCTACATGTATACAGACTTCTGGTTTAAGATTTGATTTGCAGCATGTGACATTTACAGTTTTGCTCTAATGCTGTGCTCACTCTTCCACCCTCCATCATAATATAGTCAGATGAGATCCAGGCCATTTGGACATCCTGCAGAACGTCACATTGTTGTTGTACATGTGGACATTGTGTTGATTCAGTCAGATAAGCCCCAAGGTAGCTAGAATTCTGGAATCCTTAAGAAACACGCACCTGAATTGGGGTAGACCTGATTCCGAGCCCACACAAGTGGTTGTTGGCGGGACTAGTTCCTTTAGGATTGTTGGTCTGTGGGGCCTCAATTCCTCACTGGCTGTTGATCCAAGGCCATCCTTAGTTCTGTGTCTTGTGGTCCTGTTCACGGAGAAGCTCACAATATAGCAGCTGGCTTCCATCAGCATGGGCAAGGCAAGAAAGAGTAAGCAAAAGGGGACATGGTCTTTTGTAACCCAATCTAAGAAGCAACATCCAATCACTTTTGCCCTATGCTCTTTATTATTAGAGGAGTCACTAGGTCAGTCACTAAGACCAGCCCACATTCAAGGGTAGGGAATTGCATAAGGATATGAATACTCCAAGGGGAGAGTTGTTGGGATTCATTTCAAAAGCTGCCTGCAACAAACTCTGAATTGCCAATGTAGAAATGTTAAATGGGAAAAATTTACTTTGGCCCCTGTAGCCTTAACTCTTGGTTTAATGCCCTGCTGCAACTAAAATATTATTTTTAAGATTTACCATAGAGGAAATGAGGAAAAGAGGCTTATTCAAGTTTATCTTATCTAACATAAGAGGCACATGACTTAAGCTCACATTCTTGCTGCTATCTCAACATGCCAGCTCTTACTTCCTATGAAGAAGAAGGAAAGAGGGAAGACCTTCTTACCTACTGACAGATGTTAAAACTAAGCCGAGGTTTCCATGGAGTAGATGTACTTTTACCTATTCCTCCTACTAGATACACTAACCACCCCCCCCCAAGAGTTATATATAAAACAAATATCAGAAGACTCTAAACAATGACAAAAAGGAGGCAGTCTGTCCAGGGACCTTAAGATCCAAAGAATCACATGATTACATGATGGTGAGTTCCCTGGGGTTGTTTGCTTCATCTTCTGTTTTTGTTTCGTTTTGTTTTTGCTTTATATACTCCAGACCTAGAGATGAAGAAGCCAGCAACCTGGAATTGCCATCAAATGCTGACACAAAAGTTCCTACAAAAGCCAAGGAAAAGGGGAATCTAGCAAACCAGAAAACTTTTACACAACTACCACTCTACTTCAACAAGTATCACAGGTAAAACTGTACCTCCACTCACATCCCTACCAGCAAAGGCCAAGCAGAGAGTTCAGACTTTTACCCTTGCCCAGTTATAAAGAGGGTCCCCAACTCCCCCACTGCCATAGTGTCAGAGAAGGCTTATTAGGGAGCTAGAGCTTTTATCTCCATCAGGTGGTAATGAAGTTGTCTTCAGTTGTCAGTGGAGACCATGTTGGAAGCCTGGACTTCTATCTACCCCCACCCAACAGTAATGTGATGCCCCTCTCCTTCCTGCTGGACTGGTATTAGGGGAGGCCTAGTGAAGAGTCAGGATTTTTAACTATCAAAGGAGGCTAAGGGGGAACACAGACTTCTACTCCCACTTGGCAATAACAAGGTGGTGACCCACTTTCCCTGTCAAAGCAGTGTCCGAAGAAACCAGCTAAAACAGAAGGTATAAATAAGATCTAGAATCTCACAATGTAATAACCAAAATGTTTAATTATCAATAAAAATATCACTCATTCTACCGAAAACCAGGAAGATCTGAAATTGAATGGAAAAAAGGGAATCAATAGATACCAAAAACAAGATGGCAGGTATGTTAGAATTATCTGATAAATATATTATCTAGCAGATTCTACAAAATTAACAAATCTGATAAATTATCTAACAAAGCAGCCATCATGAAATGTTTCCATAAATAATTACAAATATGTTTGGAACAAACAGAGAACAGAGCCTCATCAAGGAAACAGAAAGTCTCACCAAATAAACAGAACATATAGAGAAAAATCAAATGAGAATTTTAGGACTGAAAAATGCAATGATCAAAATTAGACACTCTTCAGCAGCATACAGACATAAAAAAATTAAGAATTTATGGATAGGATCAGCCAGGTGTGGTGGCTCATGCCTGTAATCCCAGCACTTTGGGAGGCCAAGGCGGGCAGATCACCTGAGGTTGGGAGTTTGAGACCACCTATCCAACATGGAGAAACCCCGTCTCTACTAAAAATACAAAATTAGCCGGGCGTGGTGGCACATTCCTGTAATCCTAGCTACTTGGGAGGCTGAGGCAGGAGAATTGCTTGAACCTGGGAGGTGGAGGTTGTGGTAAGCCGAGAATGTGCCATTGCACTGGGCAACAAGAGTGAAACTCTGTCTCAAAACAAAAAAAACCTCATGGATAGGATCAATAGCAGAATGGAGGGGACAGAAGAAAGAATCAGTGAATGGGAAGTTAAACAACAGAAATTCCCCAATCTGAAATACAGAGAGAAAATAGACTGGAAACAAAACAAAACAAAACAAAACATGAAGAGCCCCAGGGCTAGGTAAGGCTATAACAAAAGATCTAACATTCATGTCATTGCCATTTGAGAGAGAAGAAAGAAAGTGAGGCTGAAAAAGTTCTCAAAGAAATAATAGCTGAGAATCTCCCAAATTTTGCAAATGATATAAACCTGCCGACCCAGAAGCTAAGCAAACACCAACAGGATAAACCCAATACACGTCAAGACACCATAATTAAACATCTGAGAACAAAGACAAAGAAAAACTCAAAAGAAATCAGAGAAAACAATACATTACCTATAGGTGAAAACAATTTGAATGCTAGCCAATTCCTCATCAAATATACTAGAGATCTGGAGGAAGTGGCACAATTTTTTCTGCAAGTGCTGACAGAAAAGAACTGCAATCTCAGAATCTTATATCCAAATAATGTTCAGTAATGACAGAAAATCAAGACATTCTCAAATGAAAGCAAACAGAATTTGTTGTTGACTGATCTACTCTAAAAGAATGGCTAAAGAAAATAATGTAAACCCAAAGAAAATAATAAAAGAAGGAAAGGAGGGGCCTATCAAGCTAGAATACTTTTAGACAAGAACCACCCTATTTTAGCTAAACATCACTGAAAAACCTGCGGCTCCATATCAGGACAACCAGCAGGAAAAAAGAATGTGGTAAGCAAAAATATAGGTAAATATGATAGATATTCATTCTTCCCTCTAGTTAGCTGAATTATGTTTGAAGTTGTAAGGGAAAAAAATGGCACTATCTGATGAGGTTCTAAATGAATATAGAGGAAATATTTAAAACAATTATAAACAGGGAAGAGTAAAGATGTGTAAAGTATGGAAAGTTTTCTATACTTTACTCAAACTGGTAAAATGACTACACCAGTAGACTATGAGAAATTATACAGTGTAATACCTGGAGCAAACACTAAATAAGCTCTGTTAAAAGGATACACTCAAAACCACCACAGATAATTAAAAAGGAAATTATTTACAATATTCAAATAACATATAAGAAAGCAGGTAAAAGAAAACTAGAGAAACAAAAAAATAGCAGAAAGATGATTATTAGTTTTAAAAAACAGAAAATAAGTTGACAAGGATATGGAAAAGTGTGCATTGCTGATGTGAATGTAGGAGCGTACAGTCACTATGGAAAATGGTTTGGTAGTTTCTAAAAAAAATCAAACATGGAATTATCATATGACCCAGCAATTCAATTTCTGAGTATATACCCGAAATAATTGAAAGCAGGGACTAGAATAGATATTTGTACATGCATGTTTATAGCAGCAGTACTCATAATAGCCAAGAGAGGGAAGCAATCCATGTCCATCCACACATGGAGGGATAAACAAAATGTTATACACACATACAGTGAAATTCAGCCTTAGAAAAAGAAAGAAAATGCTGACACATGCTACAACACGGATGAATTTTGATGATGTTATGCTAAGTGAAATAAGTCAGTCACAAAAGGGCAAACACTGTATGATTCCAATTACTTGAGATATCTAGAGTATCAAATTCATAGAAACTGAAAGTAAAATGGGGGTTGCCAGAGGCTAAGGGGTTCAGGAATGGGGGTTAATCTTTGATGGGTGTAGCGTTTCAGTTGGGGAAGATAAAACATTTCTGGAGGTGGATAGTGGTAGCAGTTACACAAAAGTGTGAATGTACTCAATACCATAGAACTGTACACTTAAAAATAATAAAGTTTATGTTATGTAAATTTAACTACATGAAAAAGTAGAAATGGAAAATAAAAAATAACATGGCAAACTTAAGTCCTGACATACCAGTAATTACTTTAAATTAAATAGTCAAGTATACCATTAGAAGACATATTAGTAATGTGGATGAGAAAACATGACTCAACTACGTACTATCTACAAGAAACTCACCTTAAGTATAAAGATATAGGTAGGTTGAAAGCAAAAAGATGGAAAAAAGTATATTATGCAAACATTAATCAAAAGAAAGTAGGAATGGCTATACTAATCAGATTAAGTTAACTTCAGAGCAAAAAAATTTACCAGAGGCAGAGACAGACATTATATAATGATAAAGGGATCAGTGCACCAACTGGACATAGTAATCTTAAGTGTGTATATACCAAACAATGGAACTGCAAAATATGTGAGGCAAAAACTGATAGAAATGAAAGGAGAAAAAGACAAATCTATAAGTATAGATGGGGACTTCAATGTCCCTCCCTCTATAATTGATTTAAAAACAGCAACAGAAAATCAGCAACCATAGAAAAATTCAACAAAATCATCAACAGATAAATTCTACTTGACAGTTACAGAATATTCCAACCCAAAACAACAGAATATGCATTATTTTCAATTGCCCATGGAACATATACCAATATATATCGTATCTTGAGCCATAAAACAAACCTCAAAAATTGTAAAAGAATTAAAATAATAAAAAAGTTCTCTGATCACAATGGAATCAAATAAGAAACCTATTATTTTCCTGTTGATAAATACATCAATTGATTTATTGATCTATTGATATATTGTTACTTTAGTTTGGATGTTTGACTCCTTCAAACCTCATGTTAAAATTTGATCGCTAATGTTGGAAGTGGGACCTAATGGGAGATGTTAGGGTCATGGCGGTGGATCTCTTATGAATGGCTTGGTGCCTTTCTTGCATCAGTGAGTGAATTCTCACTCTGTTAGTTCCCAAGAGAGCTGTGTTTTTTTTGTTTGTTTGTTTTTGTTTTTTTGTCCTTTTTTTTTTTTTTTTAACAGCTCTCTCTTGCTTCTTCTCTTGCCATGTAACCTCTGCACACACTGGCTCCTCTTCATCTTCTGCCACAATGGAAGCAGCCTGACACCCTCACCAGAGGACAAGCAGCCTGCAGAACGGTGAGCACCATAGTTCTTGTATATCCTACAGAACTGTGAGCCAAATAAACTTCTTTTCTTTATAAATTACCCAGTCTCAGATATTTCTTCATAGCAACACAAATGAACTAAGACAATTGTTACAAAAAAAATTATAGAAAAATTCCAAACACTTGGAAACTAAACAAATACTTCTAAATAATAAATGATTCATAGAAGAAATTTCAAGAGAAATTAAAAATGCATTGAACTGAATGAAAATGAAAATCAAAATTTGTAGGACGCAGCTCAACTTGTGCTGAGAAAGAGAGTCTCAGCACTAAAATACATGTATTCCGAAAGAGGAAAAGTCTCAAAGCAATCATTTAAATCTACCTCAAGAATCTACAAAATAGGAGCAAAATAAACAAAAATCGAGCAGAAGAAAAGAAATAATAAAGATAAAAGCAGAAATCAATGCAATTAAAAACAGAGAAGCCGGGAGAAAAACAAAGAACAAAGAGCTAATTCTTTAAAAAGATAGATAAAGTTGACAAACCCCTACCAAGACTGAGAGAGATTGAGAGAGATAGGAAGAGAGGGAGAGGATGCAAATTACCAAAATCAAGAACAAAATGAGGGATATAACTACAGGCCCTGAAGCATGGAAATGATAAAAGACAAATGCTGCAAAAAATTCTACAGACATAAATTTTATAACTTAGATAAAATTAACAAATCTCTAAACATGTACACACAACTTATTCAGCTTGCTAAATATGAAATCAACAATTTGAACAATGCTATAATTACTAAGGAAATTCATAATTGTAAACTCCTACAAAGGAAATCTTTAAGTCAAGATAGGTTCTGTAGAGAATTCTATCAAATATTTAAATAATTAACACTAATTCTACACAAACTCTTTTACAAAATAGAAGAGAAGGGAAACCTTCCCAATCCATCTTAAGAAGCTAATTTTATCCTGACACCAAAACCAGACAAAGATAGTGCAACAAAAGAAAACTGCAGACTAATATTCCTTGTGGTTATAGACTCTAAATATTAGCAAATTGAATTCAGCAATACAGAACTAAAGTGGAGCTGTCTCAACCTGATAAAGAGTATATACGTAAAACCTAAGCTAATACCATACTTAATGGTGAAAGACCGAATGCTTTCCTCTAAGGGTAGGAACAAAGCAAGGATGTCTGCTTCTACCCTTCTTATTTCAACATAGTCCTGGAAGTCCTGGCCAGTGTAATACGGCAAGAAAAAAAAAAAAAATAAAAGGCATACTAACAGGAAAAGATGAAAAAATAAAATAAAAGATGAAAACTGTCTCTATTTGCAAATGATTTAATTATTCATGTAGAAAAGCTCAAGAAATGTACAAAATCCTTCCAGGTCTAATATGTGAATTCAGCAAAATCACACAATTATAAGATAAACATACAAAATCAATTGCATTTCCATATAGTAGGAACAAACAAAGGGACACCAAAATTATAAATACAATAAAATTTACAATTGCTCAGAAAAATGAAATACTTTGATGTAAATCTAGTGAAATATATACAGGACTTGTATGTTGAAAACTATGACATGCTGATGGAAGAAATCAAGAACTAAATAAATGGAAAGAGTTGGATTTTCATGGACTGAAAGACTCAACATCTTTACTGATGTCTGTTCTCCCCAAATTGTTATACATATTTAATTAAATTTTTATCAAAACTCAATAAGATTTTTTGTAGATAGAGACAAGATTATTCCAAAATTTACATGAAAAGCAAAAGGATTTGAATAGTAAAACAATTTTGAAAAATAATAACATTGGAGGAATCAGTCTACCCAATTTCAAGATTTATTATGTATCTGCAGTAATTAAGACTGTGATATTAAAGGAGGATAGACACATAAATGAATGGAACAGAATAGAGAATTCAGAAACAGACCAGCACAAATATTCCCAAATGAATTTTTGCCAAAGGCACAAAGGGCAAGTGCACATTCACAGTCAAAAAGAAAAAAAAAAAAGAACCCTGATCAAAGTCTCATAGCTAATAAAAAAAGTAACTGAACATGGATCATAGACTTAAATGTCAAATGTAAAACTTAAAAGGAAAAAAATGAGAAAGTATTCTGGCTCTAGAGCTAGGCCAAAGTACTTAGGCTGAACACCAAACACATGATTCATAAAAAGAAAAATTGATGAATTGGACTTCATCAAAATTTAGAACTTTTGCTTTGTGTAAAACCTTGAGAAGAGGATAAAAATACAAACTACAGACTAGGAAAGATATTTTCAATCCATATATCTAATGAAAGACTAGTATCTTCACTTTGTAAAGAACCCTCCTAACTTAATGGTGAAAAAAAAATCAGTTTAGAAAATAGACAAAAGACATGAAGAGATGTTTCACTGAAGGGGACATACAGATGACAAATAAATCCATGAAAAGATGATGAACAACATCAGCCAGTATGGAAATGCAAATTGAAGCCACAATGAGATATCACTGCACACCTATTAGAATGTCTAAAGTTAAAAAAAAAAAAGAATAGTAACAACACCAAGTGTTGGTGAGAATGAGAAGAAACTGGATTGCTAACACCTTTCTGATAAGAATGTAAAATGGTACAGCCACTGTGGAAAATAACCTGGCAGTTTTTAAAAGCACTAAATATGCAGCTATCATATGACTCAGCCATGACACTCCTGGATATTTACCCCCCCTCAAAAAAATTAAAACTTATGTTCATGTAAAAACCTATACACAGTTGCTTATAGTAGCTTTATTAATAATAGTCAAAACCTGGAGGCCGGGCACAGTGGCTCACACCTGTAATCCCAACACTTAGGGAGGCCAAGGCAGGTGGATCATCTGAGGTCAGGAGTTTGAGACCAGCCTGGCCAACATGGTGAAACCCCATCTCTACTAAAAGTCCAAAAATTAGCTGGGCATGGTGGCGGGTGCCTGTAATCCCAGCTACTCAGGAGGCTGAGGTGGGAGAATTGCTTGAACCCGGGAAGTGGAGGTTGCAGTGAGCCGAGATCACACCACTGCACTCCAGCCTGGGTGACAGACCAAGACCCTGTCTCAAAAAAAAAAAAAAAAAATCTGGAGACAACCTAGATTTCCTTCAATGGGTGAACGTTTAAACAAACTGTGGTATCACCATATTATGAAATACTACTCAGCAATGAGAAGGAATCAAGTCCTGATACACACAACCAGTGAAATATGCTGAGTATAAACAAAGCTAATCCTAAAAGGCTGCGTCGTATTGTATGATTCCACTTGTATTACATTTTTAAAATTAAAAAACTGTACAAATGGAAAATAGATTATTGGTTGCTGGGGAAAGTTTGGAGGGAAGAGGAGATGCAGAGAGCAGTGAGTGTGTTTATAAAAGAACAATATTAAAAATCCTTGTAGAGATGGAAATGCTGTTTCTTGACTGTGTCAATGTCAGTATCCTGCTTGTTATATTATACTGTAGTTTTGAAATATGTTACTACTAGGGGAAAATGGATAAAAAGTACATGGGTGTTTATGTTTGCATGTGAATCTAGAATTATAGTAAGATAAAACACTTAATTAAAAAAAAAAAGCTAAACGGCCGGGTGCGGTGGCTCGTGCCTATAATCCTTGTGCATCATGAGGTCAGGGGATCAAGACCATCCTGGCCCACACGGTGAAACCCTGTCTCTACTAAAAATACAAAAATTAGCTGGGCGTGGTGGCGTGTGCTTGTAATCTCAGCTACTCAGGAGGCTGAGGCAGGAAAATCACTTGAACCAGGGAGTTGGAGGTTGCAGTGAGTCGACATCACGCCACCGCACTCCAGCCTGGCAACAGAGCAAGACTCTGTCTCAAACAAACAAACAAACAAACAAAAACTAAACATACAATTCAGGAATTCTGCTTGTTTCAAACTGATATATATTTGCTGTAAAATGGATAGGGAATTTAGTTTAACCATTTCTCATCTTAGGAAAAATTTCCCTAAGCACAGTCAGTAGAATATTCTGAGTACCTAGAGGTACCCAGCAAGATAAAAATTTGCTTTGATGGCAGCAGTTTTGTGCACTGTTGCTCTTAAAAACTACTGCTGTCTCTTTAATGTATCTGTCTCAAATATCAGCAAGTATTCAGACAGATAAGAGTTACGCTAATCAAGGACCCTCCAAACTTTCAAGAGTTGTTGTATCTTCTTTGGAGAAACAAGTCTTTTCCCATTAAAAAATATTATGAGTATATATATATATTTAAATTTGAATAAGTCTTTGTTCTGAGAATAATTTGTGAATTTTATCCCATCACTTGAGCTAACTAAAAAAATCTCTATGGTATAAAATATTCAAATTGGACCATTTCTTTGCATGTACTCTCTACTTGTATATTTCAACTTTGCATATGATTATTTTCCTCAGCCCCTTCATAGTTTCTTCAAAGCCAGCAAAGATGCAACTGCATCCACTAGCATTATGGGTAATAGTCTGATAGCCTGCAGTTTATTCTTTCATAAATGATGGTAACTAATAGGCTCTGGCAAAAAATATTCTTGGTGGCATTATTTTTAGGGTATGCTAGGAAACTGCTCCTTATGTTAACTTACTAGCACAAAGAAAATAGGTTGGATGTGGTGGCTCACACCTGTAATCCCAGTACTTTGGGAGGCCGAGGTGGGTGGATTGCCTGAGGTCCAGAGTTCAAGACCAGCCTGGCCAACATGATGAAACCCTGTCTCTACTAAAAATACAAAAATTAGCCATGCCCACCTATAGTCCCAGCTACTTGGGAGGCTGAGGCAGGAGAATCACTTGAACCCAGGAGGCAGAGGTTGGAGCGAGCTGAGATTGAGCCACTGCACTCCAGCGTGTATGACAGAGCAAGACTCTGTCTCAAAAAAAAAAACAAAAAAACAAAAAAACAAAAAAAAGAAAAGAAAAGAAAAAGAAGGCTTTGATTATGTCAGAACAATGATCATGCTAATTTTCAGATAATTAATTTAATTTTGAAATAAAAAAATTGTAATCACTATTGTCTATGGCCTTCACCTACATGATTAAAACAATTTTAAAAAGCCTTCAGCTAGGGCCAGGCATGGGGATTCATGCCTGTAATCCCAGCACTTTGGGAGGCTGAGGTGGGGGGATCACTTGAGCTCAGGAGTTCGAGACCAGCCAGGCCAACAATGGCGAAACCCCATCTCTACTGAAAACACAAAAATCAGCCAGGCCTGATGGCAGGTGTCTGTAGTCCCAGCTACTTGGGAGGCTGAGGCAGGAGCCTGGGAGGTGGAGATTACAGTGAACTGAGATTGTGCCACTACACTCCAGCCTGGCCGATAGAACGAGACACTGTTTCAAAAAAAAAAAAAAAAATTATAGTAGTCCCTCTTACTTTTACTCCTTCACACTTCCAACAGTCTCATAAGCACCTAATTCTTACCCCAAATCTCTTTCTACTTGAAACACCTAGGATGGTTTCTATGTACCTTTCCTAATCCTTATTGAAACAGAGATACTTTATTTAAATTACTTTAAAAGGTTAAATATTAACACCTCTTTTTAAGATTACATATCATACATTGTTAAAAGATAATTTAAATTTGTTGGAATTAATCCATTCTGTTTGCTTTTACAAACTAACAATTTACTTACAAAGAAATTAAACCTTTTTGTATACTTTTACTTTAACTTAGTGGTACATTACAAAATTAAGGTCTCTAGGAATGCCTCTCTTTGCAAAGTATGAGAGTTTTAAATCAATGTCCTCACAAGGAGGGGATGGCTGAAATTGCTCCCCAAAAATACCTGGAGATGTTTTTGGTTGTCAAACTGGGAGTGAAGATGCTACTGATAATCTCATGGATGGTGGCCAGGGATGTTGCTAGACATCCTATGAAGCACAGGAGAGCTCCTTACAGTGAAAGACTATCAGGCCCAGAATGTCGATAGTGCCAAGGCTGAAAAACTATGGTTTAAAGAATGCCTTTCTATAGTTTCATACTTACTGATTCTAGTCTTGGACCCTTCCACTGGCCTTTACTATAGTAACCCAAACTACTCATTTCCTTCTTATTTTATATCTGATAAAACTACTTTGGCTCCTCTAATTCCCAGAAAGTTTTGCTGCTTATCAGTTTATCCTTTCCTCTTGTGAAAACCCAGTTTCCACCAGGTATGTCATGGCCCATCACTGTGTGTTTCTTTGAAACATGATAATTAGATATGGGCAGCTGCCAGGATAGTCCAAGCAGATGAGACGAGACAGAAGGAGAACTTATTTATTTCTGTGCACAGGGTCACAAAATTTCAGGATTGGAAGGAATCTTAGAGAATGTCTCAACTCACATGCTCACATTAGATTCTAGAAAACGGAAACCCAGAGAGGCAAATTAACTCCTTCAGAGCTATTTTTTTTTTTTTTTTTTTTTTTTTTTTTGAGACGGAGTCTTGCTCTGTCGCCCAGGCTGGAGTGCGGTAGCGCAATCTTGGCTCACAGCAAACTCTGCCTCCTGGGTTCACACCATTCTCCTGCCTCAGCCTCCCAAGTAGCTGGGACTACAGGCACCCACCACCGCACCCGGCTAATTTTTTTTGTATTTTTAGTAGAGACGGGGTTTCACCGTGTTAGCCAGGATGGTCTCGATCTCCTGACCTCGTGATCCGTCCGCCTCGGCCTCCCAAAGTACTGGGATTACAGGCGTGGGCCAGAGCTATCTATTTCTATGCTAAAATTCTATCTAATAGCATTCACAGGACTTGTAAAAGCTCCCACCTTATTCCAGGATAGAATGTTCCTGAATAGAATACTTAACCAAAGATAGAAAAAGGTATTTTTCCCAATGCCAAGCCCACTCTTCTGGTCATTTAACCCCCAATACATCTTAACTCTGGATTAATTTGGCTTTGAGAAGTAGGTTTTTCATGCTCTTTGGGCTAGACACACCTCAGGACAGAATGATAGAGAAGGCCAGGTGCTTAAAATGTCTAATTCGGACCTTGCCAGCTCTTCTCCCAAGAGAATCTGTAAGAAACCTAGGATTAAACTCTGAATTTTTTATCTTTCCCAAATTCCTATCTAAGGGGTCTGGGAAGTCATGTCCTACAAATCATAAATTCTCATCAGATGGGTTTTATTCAACCCTATATATCATGACTTACTTTCCCTGACTCTGGCATAACATTTTCAGACAAGGAAGAAAATCAAAATATTTTACCCCCAAACATGTTTATTTGCCATATTTTGAAATGGCCCTGCAAAGCTGATCTTTGTGGGGGAAAATTTACATCTGTAAAGAATCTCTATCAACATAGCTAGATCTTTTTCTTCCAGACCCTCTGAATCCTAAAGAGATTAACTAAGATCTGAATAGGAAACATTTGTCATCTATTGTGTCTAATGGCAGCCACTATAAGACTTCAAAAGAACTTTGGTCTCCACAATTTTTATATTAACCTGAACACTCCCTTGTATCAATCCCAAGTCTTTAGACAAACTCAACAAATTGTCAACCAGAAAATGTTTAAATTCACCTATAACCCGGAGTCCCTGCCCCTCCACCCGCCCTCCCGCCCATCTTCACTTCGAATTCTCCAGCCTTTCTGGACCAAACCAATGTATTTCTTAAAGGTATTTGATTGATGTCTCATGCCTTCCTAAGATATATAAAACCAAGCTGCACCCTGAAGACGTTGGGCACGTGTTCTCAGGACCTCCCGAGGGCTGTGTCATGGGCCATGGTCACTCATATTTGGCTCAGAATAAATATCTTCAACTATTTTACGGAGTTTGACTCTTTTCGTCTACAAACCCATTGGTTGATATTACTCTTACATAAGTTTCAGCCACATTGATAATATACCTTTAAAAATGGAAATATCCTAAATGCCTAACAATGGGAAAGATATAAAAATAGATTTTAATGTATCAGTTTGATCACATTTGCTGGCATGAAAAAAGCTGATGCAGAAGAATAGTATTTACTGGCCAGAGATATCTAGAGATGTATTTGGTTGTCAAACTGGGAGCAGGGGTGCCACTGACATGTCATAGGTAGTAGCCAGGGATATTGCTAAACATCCTGTGAAGGATGTCCTAGAAAATATCCATAATACATCAAACATAAAAAACCAGATGATCAAAGAATATGTAGAGTGATCCCAATTTTGATTTAAAACTGTGTATATTATGGGAAAGATATCACAAGAATATGAACCAAAATACTAACAATGAATGTCTCTGGGTGTTGTAATTACAGGTGAGGTTTTACCTTTTCTGCACTTTTCAAATGTCCTTAAGTGAAACTTTTGTAATTTTTTTTTAAGAGATAGTTTCTCACTCTGTCTGCACTGTAGTGCAGTGGTATGAGCACAGCTCACTGTAACCTTGAACCCTGGGCTCAACCCATCCTCCAGCTTCAGCCTCCTGAGTAGCTGAGACTATAGTTGCACGCCACCATACCTGGATAATTGTTTTATATAGACAGGGTCTCGCTATGCTATCCAGGCTGGTCTCCAACTCTTGGCCTCCAGCAATCCTCCTGCCTCAGCCTCCCAAAGTGCTGAGATTACAGGCATGAGCCATCATGCCTGGCTGGTGTAGGCATCTCTGAGTTTCTTTCTGGGGGTTCGTGCAGAAAATCTGTTCTCTTGCCACTTCGAGCTTCTAGTGTCTGCCTGCATTTCTTGGTTCGTGTTCTTTCTCTCATCTTCAAAGCAAAGAGTAAACAGTGGCCATAAGGTCATTATCATGATGCCATCTCTGTTTCTGACCCTTCTGCCTTCCTCTTCCCACAAGTCACCACACCTGGCCTTTTATAATTTTAAAGAAATATTTTACTAGCAATGTTAACACAAAAGAGGCCAAAAGAATAAGAACTGAAAAGGGAACACAGGTCTTTGCAATCAAGAGGTCACTGATTTCCTCAGAACTACAATTTCTGTGGAGTGGGGAAGCCACATTTGTAAAGGATCCAAAATCCAGCATTTAGGAAATGGGATGTGGCCACAGACCACTGATACCTAAGATAGAGAACGACATCAGAAAATGAAGATGATGACCAGAGGCGGCACTGGGGTCCAATAAAATTATAAATTTGTTTCTGGTTTTTTGTTTTGTTTTCTTTTTGTAAGAAGAAACAAGACGCACTCATTTTTCTTTTCTTTATTTTTTTAAATATAGAAAATGACCCTGTATTAGATAAATCAAAAGAGATTTATTATAAAGGATTAGCTCATGACATTATGGAAGCTAAGTCCCAAGACTTTCAGGTTGAGTTGCAAGCTAGAGACCCAGGAGAGCTGATGATATAATTTCAGTCCGTAGGCCTGTAGGCTTGAGACTTAGGCCAAAGTGATGTTTTAGTTTGAGTTTCAAGGGAAGGAATAAAAATAATGCCCCAGCTTGAAGGCCATCATGCAGGAAGAGTTCCCACTTCTCAGCCTTTTTGTTCTATTCAGACCTCAGCTGGTTGGATTGCGTCCCCCGACCCCCACATTAGGGAGGGCAATGTGCTTTACTCATCCAGAAACACTTGCACAGAAACACCCAGAATGATGTTCAGCCCAATGTCTAGGGTACCCCCTGGCCCAGTCAAGATGACACATGAAATTAACCATTATAGACTCAATAGATAGAAATACACTGAATAAGGAGAGAAAGATCAGTTTGATGACACAAAGTTTTGGCAGAGAAGGGAAATCACAGAAGTGAGCATCAGGAGGTTAAGCTTATTAAGACAGGAGCCACTCACAGAGATAATTATAGCACAGAGGTGGGAAGCTATGGCACATTCAAGGGAATAAATAACTTTTCACATTTCAAGATAAAAAAGTTAGTAGTTTTAGGGACGGAATCCCACTAAATCCAATTCTTTCTAAGTGAAAAAAAAATGCATTTGTTTTAACATTCATTTGCAAAGTGGCTACGGAAATCACAAATTAACTGTTAAATTTCTTAATTTTGTTCTGTGTCTGAATACCCTAAAGAAGAATAAACAAATTATTGGTCTCCTTGAGTCTGTGTCTTACATTGCCATTTTCATTTTAGTCAAATTTTATTAAATTATATTAAATGCATTGTATTAGTCAGGGTTCTCTAGAGGGATAGGACTAATTGGATAGCTGTATATGTGAAAGGGAGTTTATTAATGAGAATTGACTCACACAATCACAAGGTTAAGTCCCACAATAGGCTGTTTGCAAGCTGAGGAGCAAGGAAGCGAGTCCGAGTCCCAAACCCTCAAAAGTAGAGAAGTTGACAGTGCAGCCTTCAGTCTGTGGCTGAAGGCCCAAGAGCCCCTGGCAAATCACTGGTGTAAATCCAAGAGTCTAAAAGCTAAAGAGTCTGATGTTCGATGGCAGGAAGCATCCAGCACAGGAGAAAGATTGAAGACCAGAAGACTTAGCCAATCTAGTCCTTCCACGTTATTCTGCCTGCTTAATTCTAGCTATGCTGGCAACTGATTACATGGCACCCTCCCAGATTAAGGGTAAGTCTGCCTCTCCCAGTCAACTGACTCATATGTTAATGTCCTTTGGCAACACCCTCACAGATACACCCAGGAACAATACTCTGCATCCTTCAATACAATCAAGTTGACACTCAGTATTAACCATGACCTGCATTTAATGATTTATTTAATTAAATATTATTTAAAACTAAAGCCTGAAGTTTCTATTAAAATTTATCCCTAAAGCAGATCCAGGATTCACAAATCACAACTCCAGTGCCCTGATCATCGCTGCCGCAGAAAAAGTTAATACCAAGGATTGTAAAAGTGTGAATGTTCTTTTTTTATTTTGGTAGGAAGACTTAGAAACATTTTTATACAAGAGAGAAAGTTCATAACCAAGACTACTTTAAAGAATCCTATCAAATTATCCACATGGAATATGAGTGAGCATAGCCCTGAGATGCTTCTTTCTACTCAATTATTATAAACATGTAATTTCTTTCTCTGAGTAATTGCAAGCCTTCTCCTGTAATCTGCAGTGGAGGTCTCCATAGATCATTCATCTTGCTCACAGCTCTCTTCCAATTATGAAAGAAGCCTATGCTTTATTTCTCTTTTGATTTTTATGTATTTGTCTATTGACTAGGGGTAGATAATAAACACTGTTTTGAGAGGAATAATGAATTCAGAGAGAATATGAAAACCACAGGGGCTGGAACAGGTCTCTCATCTTTATATTGGCATGTTTAGACTCAGCATATAGAGGTAGGGCCCCTGTTTATATACACAATTTTATTTTTAAAAAATGTATTGCAAAGTTCTTGAGCTCATATGAGGTATAGTGATTTATTAATGAAGATTTAGAATGATGTTTATTGTTCTATTCATGAATATAAAGATTCTTTGTAGTGTCCGGCCATCATTTCTTCTTGTACAGGTCTATAGCTATCATTTTATCACTATGTTCTTTGTTGTTAAATGTGTCATTCCTGGCTCATTTTATAGCTGCAATCACAAGAAAGAAGTAGCAAAGCTGTTATTACTCACAATGCCATGGCTCTTTGGAAGCTGTTGGGTTGAAGCAATATCATCCTTCCTGCTTCTGCAGTTCCCTAATAGCATGTATTTAACGCTGGGTATATCATCACTCCTGACACTGCTCTGCCCACCATGTCACTTACGATTATGGGTGTCAGTAGTTCTCACCAAGGTTGTTGTCGTGCTCCACAATAATGACCACTAAATGCAATTCTTACCTGCAGGAAAATCTGAATTAAAATTCTTTTTTTTTTTGGTCATGTTAATGTATTGTTTGGAATTTTTTAGCATAGATGTAGAGCAATACAACTTCCAACTGTGTCTTCTTTTCAACTCTGTAGGCCATCCAGGCTGGGTGCATTCCTAGGATGTGATTTCCTTCAGTGTGGAGTAAACCCTGCCTTTTACCCACCAACACCAGCAAGGAAGTATAGAAGACCAGTACCATTTACTCAAGGAATGTCCATCTTTCATTTGGAATGCCTTAAGACTTCCAGGAAGAGCATGCTATCACTACATCAATTGGAGGTGAGAGAGGACATCAGTTGGAGGGGACTGTTAGCTTATGGACAATGATGTTGAAAGCCTTGAGAAGGTGCAGAAAAGATAGGTAAGGCCATCCCCAGAAAACTGCCTGATATGGTATGGAGTCTGCAGAGGGCAGAAGGTGACCGCCCTAGGTCCCTGCCATGGGGGAGTAGGGGCATAGGGTAAAGGATACCTACCGACACCCCCCCCCCAGTGCCTTGGAGCTATAGATGAGAAGGGCCTGTGGTCAGTTGAGAGTCAACAGATGGGCCCAAACTTGGCTCAGAATGCAAAAGTAGGCAGTGGACTGTTGGAATCCAAATCCCTGCACTCCTCACTTCCAATGTGACTCACCCCAAACTAACTACTGTTCCTTACAGCTCAATCTTACCCAATACCGCAAAAGAAATACCATACTGGCCAACAGGAACTATCTGTTTGGGGCAGGAGGGAAAGGTGTACAGAGCAGGCACTGAATGCAGCCTTAGGAAATTTCTAGGAAGACACTTTCAGCAACCGGGACCCACACGTGACCAAGCGCCTTGCTTGGATGCCCTGGCCAGTCCCAGTCACTGGAGAGGGTATTTCTTCAAGGAAGATACTGCAATGCACTGGGGATGGGTGGTCCTCAGACACAAGACCTGGACAGGAGGGAAGCTTTCCTGGGTCCAAGAGTGGTACTAAAATTTGTGGTCAAATGCAGGGTTTGGAAGAAGCTGGAAGGAAACCTGGAGCCCTGATTTTCTAGCCATCTTATACTCACCAATAAAGAATGTTAATTCTATATTAATATTAAAAATTGTGCATATGTGTGTGTGTGCATGTGCATATATGCTGGGGTGAGTGGGGAGAGGAGAGCAAAAGAAAATACAAACATATTGATTTGAGTGCATAAGAGTATATCAAATATTACCATCATTCAAAAAAACTTCTATAAAACTAAAGACATCGAAACTTAGCTTCTGGTTTTACCACTCCAAACATCTACTACAGCTTACATTTATACAATTTTCCAGTGGAAGTTAGAAATAAAAGGTGTTTTCTACCAAACATCCAATGTGCCTTTTTGCCACTCTTTCTGATTTTCAGCTGTGCCTGAATCAATAGCTTCACCATTTTGATAAAGTCTGTCTTGGTGCCAATGCAAACTTTGATTAAAAGAGAAGAGAGTCTGTTAATCCTTCTTTCTCTAAAAGAATTTTTCATATTGTCATGATCTCCCTCAGTGTCCTCAGATTCCAGCCTAATTCCCTAGTTAAGAGGTTGTGTTATTTTTTCCTGGGGTAGTAAAACTTTAGTCGGCTTCAACAAAGTATCATCTCATCTGCACCTCCACCACCTGTCTATGATGCTGATTTCCAAACTCATGCTGAACATTAAGACGGTCTCCACGGTGGCAGGCTGGGGTCAATTTATGAAGCAGCAGGGAGTAGGTCCACATGACTGGACTCCAGGGTTTTCAATCAGGTAGGAAAGGTGAGATTAAGTTTCAGATGAAAAATAAAACAATTATGGTGGATTCTAAAACTAGAGCTGTGGACCCAGAGAAAAACAACCAAAATAGAAACCAAGCAGAAGTAAATATAAAAGCTGACAACAGGTGCATTCTTGGAAAATGTGAGAAAATGTTAACAGAAAACTGGCAAATATTTGTTTTAACTTTTTCCTTCTATAATCAACACAAATAGATTTTCCTACCAGACGGTGTGACTACACTGAGAAGAGGAACCAGGAAATGATTTTTAAAGAGGTAGTAGTCAGCATTAACGGCAGAAAATTAGTTGGTACTAGAAAATTTTTCACAGCTACTCACCCAATTACTTTACAATTGAGAAGAATTATTTCAAAATAATCAGCTATGTATCCCACAGCAAATTTACCAACAGAATTGGAACCATTTTTAGAAGAAAAAAGTTAATAGATTAAAATAAGAGTAGTTTATAATATATTCTTACATTCTGCAAGTGTTATTTTTTAAATTACAAACTGAGAGTGCACAGTTTTATACAATTAAAAGCAAAAACAGGAAACACATATATAGTGAGGGCTTTGTCAGCAAGATCAATGACTACACAAGTGACTGCATGTATCAAGGATGTGAAACACAAGCATGAATGTTAAAAGAAGAAAGACATAGATTATATTCACAGTATATTTAAAATAAAAAGCACCAAAGGCGTTAAAGATAAAAAAAGGAAAATGAAAAAGGAAACAATACTATTTCAGGGTAGGGGCATAGTTTAAATACTTTTGGTATTTGCCTTCTCAACAATGCACTCTGTATTAGTCCATTTTCACACCACTTTAAAGAAATACCAGAGACTGGATAATTTATAAAGAAAAAAGGTTTAATTGACTCACAGTTCCACATGGCTGGAAAGGCCTCAGGAAACTTAACAATCATGGTGGAAGGCAAAGCAGGCACATCTTACATGGCAGCAGGCAAGAGCGAGCAAAGAGCAAAGTGGGAAGAACCCCTTATAAAACCATCAGATCTCGTGAGAACTCACTCACTACCACAAGAACAGCATGGGGAAACCATCTCCATGATCCAATGACCTCCCTTCATTGACACATGGGATTACAATTCTAGATGAGATTTGTGTGGGGACACAGAGGCAAACCATATCACACTCTAAACAAAAAGTAACTATAGTAACAAAAATTGCTGTGAAAGAATGCAATATATTGAAAGAGCCAGGGTTTTTACTAAGATTCATGCTATAAATAAAAAATTCTGGCCAGAAGAAGAAAAACAAATATCTACAGATACCTAGAAAAGAAAAGAAAAAACAGATCTTGCTGCCTTTTTCTGTACTGGTTTCCTTAATTTCATACTGTTACTTTTAACACCTGTACATTGTAAAATGTTTCTGAGGAGACGACTTGGTTTGAAGGCTGCTCCTGGCAGTCATAGTTGAGTATTTATTTATAATCTCCTTCCTTAATTCCTGAGACATCAAGATTTTAATTCATGCAGGAAGGAAAACATGCTTTGCACTTTTCTTTTCTTTCTTTCTTTTTTTTTTTTTGAGATGGAGTCTTACTCTGTCACCCAGGCTAGAGTGCAGTGGCGCAATCTTGGCTCACTGCAATCTCTGCCTCCCAGGTTCATGCCATTCTCCTGCCTCACCTCCTGAGTAGCTGGGACTATGGGCACCTGCCACCATGCCCAGCTAATTTTTTGTATTTTTAGCAGAGATGGGGCTTCACTGTGTTAGCCAGGATGGTCTCGATCTCCTAACCTCATGATCCGTCTGCCTCAGCCCCCCGAAGTGCTGGGATTACAGGCATGAGCCACCATGCCCAGCCTCTTTGCACTTTTCTAACCCAAGTTCACAAAGGTCATAAGCTTTCTCTAAATTTTATTATCTTAACTCTCACATTTAGGTTTGTCATTCATTTTTAGTCAATTTTCATATATGGTGTGAGGTAGGGGTCTAAATATATTCATTTATGTATTGCTAAAAAGAAGAACTTCTGACAAATTAAAGGTAACACAGTTTGAGCAAAGAACAATTCATGAATTGGGAAGTCTGAGTTATGGTTTCAGACAAGGTAGGGAAAAGTAGAAATAACTACCCATTCCCCAGGCACTATTAAGTTCCAGGGTCAAGGGCAGCTAAGGCCAAGCCAAGAACACCATTTATTTAGATTGCATGTTTATTTGAGATGAATTTGATGAGGGGTAGATAAGACAGAAAGACCAGTGCTCCTCTGGCCCCTCATTCTTAGGTGGTACATTAGAGGGGCACAAAACAAGACCTGCTAATCTCTGAGATTTTGTTTTTTTGAGATGGAGTCTCGCTCTGTCTCTCAGGCTGGAGTGCAGAGGTGCAATCTTGGTTCACTGAAACTTCTGCCTCCCGAGTTCAAGCGATTCTCCTGCCTCAGCCTTCTGAGTAGCTGGGATTACAGGCGTGTGTGCCACCACACCCAGCTAATTTTTGTATTTTTAGTAGAGACGGGGTTTTGCCATGTTGGTCACGTTGGTCTTGAACTCCTGACCTCAGGTCATTCACCCCCTTGACCTCCCAAAATGCTGGGATTACAGGCATGAGCCATTGCACCTGGCTAACATAGACTTTTGGACACTTTGTTTTTTTGAGCAGTAGGAAATTTCTGAAACTTATTTTCAATTACCAAGAGAACAAAACGTTCAAAACCCTGATTTCCTTGTAAAGAAAATGTGTCATTCCACCACATGAATGACAAGCAGCATTTGAATATTTCATTAAAGAATGAGAATTCTCTGAATTAGCCAGAATGAAAGTACTCAGAACACCATGTGGTAGAATTTCAAAAGAATGACATCACACATATATCTACAGGCTCTTGTGTTACACACTTCATTATTCAGCAGGAAACTCACTGGCTACATTAACTGTTAAAGATTCCTTCTGTGATGAGAATATAAATTGCATACCAGAAAACAATCTTTCCCCTCAAGACACAGAGTCACTAAATCAAATATGTTTTGGTATTAAAAGTCCACCAAGAGTTATGATAGACAACAGCTAGACAAAGAATGAATTTTTCACAATGTGTACACCAATGAAAGAGAAATATTCATCATTGCTAGGAAACTTGAGCCAGTAGCTGGTAAATATCAGCAGGAATTCAGAATCTGATGTTAGAGCAGTAAATACCGCAAGTGCGTCTGCCCAGTGCACAAGATCTCGTCTACAGAGTAAGCATCAAGAGTTTAGCGTATGGTGTTAGGTTGCATTCTCAGGATGCTTTGAAGGTTCTGCCTGTTTCAAAATGAAGTTTTAAAATCACTTTACTGACATAAGAAGCAGAAAAGCAGCCTTTGACCCTGGGAGCCAGCCTGGTACTCACTGACAGGTCTTAGTGTAGCTGTGAGCAGACATGCACTCAAAGGTAAGCCTTGGTTAAGCCTGACATCAACATCAGACAAGGCTATTCTGTGACTGGGGTGGATCAAGACATAAACCAGACAATTTCATAATCATGTTTGAACACATGCAAAGCATGCACACTGTTCAGGCCACAAAAATAGAATTACTCCAGCTGCCTGATACTATACTCTCCAGGGCAAAGCCCTGCTTCCTTAAACCCTCCCCAAAACCACCTAATGCAAGCTCAAATCATGTATGCCCTTTCTAACAGCCTCTTAGAAGGGCCATTCAGAGACACCCCACAGTCCCTATGGTGTGGGTTCTCCCTTGCTGCAATGAACAATAAAACTAACTTTTTCAACTGCATGTGTGTTCCTGGATGGAGGATATTGATGGAGATACAGTTTACATTTGACAAAATACATATATTTTAAACATAAAGCTCAATGGATTTTGGCAAATATATACACCTATATAACCCCCACCAAAATATAAAAATGGAACATGTCTACCATTTTTGCCACTTTCCAGTCAAACTCCATATCACCTCTAGCCCCAGGCAATTCAAATGACCTGCTAACTCTCTTCTTGGGGTCCAAATACAGCATGTACTGCCTGGCTTCTTTCTCTCAGTTTATGTTATGTTAATGCAGACAGGTTTTGTTTTTTGTTTTTTGTTTTTCCCAGTAGGTGTGTAGTCTGCTTTCTTTCCTTGTCAAATTGCCCAATTTGGACCTCTTAGACAAGTGACGAAAGTAAACATCTTTGTCTTCTTATTACTGATTTTAGATTCATGGATTCAGTCTTTCACTATTAACTGTGATATGACCTGTAGATTTTGCATAGATTCCCACTATCAGGTTGAGAAAGTTCTCTTCTTTTTCTAACTTGCTTAGAGTTTTGATTATTAAGAAGTGCTAAACTTCATCAAATGCTTTTTATGCATCTGTTGAGGTGATCATATAGGTGTGTTCAAAAAATCTTCTATTCAGTGAATTACAGTCACTGATTTTTGAATGTTATACTAACCTTACAATTTAAATATAAATCCCACATGATTCAAGTGATCTCACTGGAATAGGTATGATCCTATTGATATTTAGCTGGATCAAATTTGCTAACACTCTGTTAAGGAATTTTGTGTTGATATTAGTGAGGGATATCAGTGCATAGTTTGCTTTTCTTGTCTTTGTCTGGCTATTGTATGAGAGGATGTTGATCATATAAAATGAATTGGGAAGTGTTTCTTATTCTTTTGTTTTATTTTTTAAAACATTTGTGTAGAATTGATAATACTGCATTCTTGAATGTTTGATAATATTCACCAGTAAAGCCATCTGAATCTGGAGTTATTGTGTTGTAAGGTTTTAACTATGAATTCAATTTATTTAATTTATATAGAGCAGGTTTTCAATTTCTCCTTGAGTCAATTTTGGTAATTGTGACTTTCAAAAAATTTGTCCCTTTCATCTAGCTTATCATTGGCATAAAGCCATTCATAATATTTTCTTATTATGCATTTAATACCTGTCAGAACTATAATAACATCCTGTAGTTCATTCATGATATTGGTAATTTTCTTATTCTAAAGAGGTTCTCCAATTTTATTTATTGTTTCAAATAACTGGCTTTGGTTTCCATATTCTGACCTTTTCTAGGTGATTGATTTCCACTCTTTTTTATTATTTTCTTCCTTGGCTCTTATTATTCTAGCTTCCTGTGGTAGAAACTGAGGTCACTGATTTCAGAATTTTTGTCCTATACAATGTATTTAAATCTACAAATTTCCCTTTGTAGCTGCATCCCATAAATTTTCATATATTGTATTTTCATGTTCATTCCATTCAAACTATTTTCCACTCTTTTGTGATTTATTGTGATAAATAATATTTATTTATTTATGGATTATTTGGATGTTTTGTTTAATTTCCACATATCTGGGGATTGTTTAAATATGTTTCTGCTGTAATTTTTTTAAAAATTGTGTTGTGGTCAGAAATCAATATATAATTTCAATTCTTTAAATATTTTGGGACTTATTTTATGTTACAGAATATGGTCTATCTTAATGAATGTTTCACATGTAATTGTAAAGAATGTGTAGTTTCTGGGTTTGGAATCAAGTTTTATATAAATGTTAGGCCAAGTCAAATGATAAGACTTCTTATTAAAATTTCTGCCTACTTTTTCTGTCAAGTATTGAGAGAGGGTTGAAATCTCTGACCATAATTGTGGATTTGTCTATTTCTCTTTCAATCCTATCAATTCTTGCTTCATGAGTTTGAAGTTCTGTTACCATGTTGTCTTAGTTCATTTGTGTTGCTATACAGGAATACATAAGGCTGGGTAATGTATGAAGAAAAGAGGTTTATTTGGCTCACAGTTCTGCAGGCTGTACAAGAAGCATGGCACCAGCATCTTCTTCTGGGGAGGGCTTCAGGCTGCTTCCACTCATGGTGAAAGGTGAAGGGGAGCAAGCATCATATGGAGAGAGAGAGGTAGAGAGACGGGGGAAGAGGTGCCAGGTTCTTTTCAACAACCTGTTCTAGTGGAAATGAATTGAGTGAGAACTCACTCATTACCACAAGGTGGCACGAAGTTATTCCTGAGGGATCCACCCCCATGACCTAAACAGCTCCCATCAGGCACCAACTCCAACACTGGGAATCCAACATCAACATGAGTTTTGGAGGGGACAAATATTCAAAGGATATCAAAGACACATACATAATTAGGATTTTTATGTCTTTTCCATGAATTGTTTCCTTTATTATTATGGAATGTCTCCCTTCATTCCTGATAACATCCCTTGTTTCATTTTATGTATTTATTTATTTTGAGATGGAGTTTCTCTCTTGTCACTCAGGCTGGAGTGCAGTGGTGTGATCTTGGCTCACTGCAATCACCACCTCCCAGGTTCAAGTGATTCTCCTGCCTCAGCCTCCCGAGTAGCTGGGCTTACAGGTGCCCACCAACATGCCCGGCTAATTTTTGTATTTTTTTTTCCTTTTTTTAGTAGAGATTGGGTTTCACTATGTTGTCCAGGCTGGTCTCGAACTCCTGACCTCAGGTGATCCACCCCCCTCTCGGGCTCCCAAAGTTCTGGGATTACAGATGTGAGCCACCACACCCAGCCACATCGCTTGTTTTAAAGTTTACTTTGCTTGTATTATTGCAGTTCCTCCAGCATCCTTATATTTGTGTAACAGATCTTTATTCAACTGGGTTCCTTTCAGGAAGACTTACTTTTTTAAATCCAGACTAACAATCTCTGTTTTTAATACGTTTTGAATATTTCTATTTATTGCAAATATCAGTATGGTTAAAATAAATCTGTATTCTCTTCCTTTTTGTTTTTTTTTTCTTTTTCTGCCTTTTGTTGAATTAATTGATTGATATTTAGTATTCGACTATTGCAGCTATTGTTTTATTAGTTATACCTCTTTGTTTTACTTTCATAATGATAACTGCATGGTTAGCTATATGCGTGTTTAAATTTTCAAGGTCTATAATTAAATAATATTATACCCCTTCACATTTAATCTAAATACTTTATAACTTTATAATTCCATTTCTTCTTGTAATCCTTTGCACTATCATTGTTATACATGTCACTTCTATATGTTTTGTGAAACCTTTACAAAACATGTAGAAGTAAAATGTATAACAAAAACATTTTAAAATAAAACTTTATTATTTTTACTTTAAAGGGTAAATAACCTTTCAAAAGTTTTTTTGAATGAGAAAAATGTTTTTAATATATGGGTTATTTGCAAGAGACTTACTATCTTTGATGCTCTTCATATCTTTCTAAGGATTCATATTTTCACCTGGTTTCCTTTCAGTGAACAACTTGCTTTAATGTTTCTTGTAGTGCAGATCTGCTAGTGATTTCTCTCTGCTTTCGTTTGTTTGAAAAAGCCTTTATTTCGGCCCATTTTTTTCTCAAATATTTTTTTCTGTCCTCTCATTTCTCTTACTTCTGGGACTCCATTTACATGGTAGGCTCCTTGATACTGTCATGGAGGCTCTATTTTTTCTGGTATTTTCTCTCTTTGATAGCTCCTATTGCCATAAATACAAGTTCACTGATCGTTTCTTCTCTACATCCTAATTGACTGTTAATCCAATTCAATATATTTTTCAAGTTAGATTATTGTATTTTCCACCTTTAGACATTTTATGTTGTACTTTGTTTTAGTTGTGGTAAAATATACATAACCAAAAAAGTTAGCATTTTAACCATTTTTAAGAGTATAGTTCAATGGTTTTAAACATTGCTGTCCAATCATCACCACTATCCACCACCAGAACTTTTTCATGATCCCAAATTAAAACTCTATGCTCATTAAACACTCACTCCCCATTTCCTCCTCCCCTCTGGCCTTTGGCAACCACCATTCTACTTTCTGTTTCTGTGGATTTTGCTACTTTAGAAATATCTTAAGAGTGGAATCATACAGTATTTGTTATTTTGTGACAGCCTTCTTTTACTTAACTAAATGTCTTCAAGTTTCATCCAGGTTAGAGCATGTTTCAGAACTTCCTTCCTTTTTAGGACTGAATAATATTTCATTGTATGGATATATCACATTTTGTTTATACGTTCATCCATCTATGGACACTTGGGTTGCTTACACTCCTTGCCTATCATGAATAACATTGGCATCAACATGGGTGTACAAATATCTGTTCAAGTCCCTGCTTTCAAATATTTTGTGAATATAACAAGAAGTGGAGTTGCAGGATCATATAGTAATTCTATTTTTAATTTTCTGAAGAATTGCCATACTGTTTTCCACAGTGGCTGCACCATTGCCTACCAGGAGTGCACAAGTTTCCTAGTTTCTCTACATCCTTGCCAACACTTGTTATTTTTTGTTTGCTTGCTTATAATATCCATCCCAGTTTTTGCAAAGTGATATCTTATGGTTTTGATTTATATTTCTCTAATGATGAATGACATTAGGTATCTTTTCATGTGCCTATTAACCATTTGTTTTTTGTTTATTTATTTATTTTGATACAGGGTCTTGCTCTGTCACCCAGGCTGTTGTGCAATGGTGCAATCACGGCTCACTGCAGCCTCAGCTTCCTGGCTGCAGCCTCAGGCTCCCAAGTAGCTCAGACCACAGGCACACGCCACCAGGCCTGGCTAATTTGTATTTGTATTTTTGGTAGAGATGGGGTTTTGCTATGTTTCCTAGGCTGGTCTTGAACTCAATTGATCCACCTGGATTGGACTCCCAAAGTGCTGGGATTACAAACCTGAGCCACCACACCTGGCCAGTTGGCATTTTGTGTTCTTCTTTGGAGAAATGTCTATTCTCCTCCTTTGCCCATTATAAAAAATAAATTGTCAGTATATTGTTTTTGTTGAGTGCAGGAGTTCTTTATGTATTCTGGGTATTAACCCCTTAACAGATAGATGATTTGCAAATATTTTCCCCCATTCTGGGGTTACCTTTATACTCTGTTGATAGTACCTATTGTGTATTTTATTTTATTTTAGACGGAGTTTCACTCTTGTTTCCCAGGCTGGAGTGCAGTACTGCGATCTCAGCTCACTGCAACCTCCACCTCCCGGGTTCAAATGATTCTCCTGCCTCAGCCTCCCAAGTAGATGGGATTACAGGCATGCACCACCAGCCCCGACTAATTTTTTTTTTTGTATTTTTAGTAGAGATGGGGTTTCTCCATGTTGGGCAGGCTAGTCTCGAACTCCTGACCTCAGGTGATCCACCCGCCTCAGTCCCCCAAAGTGCTGGGATTACAGGTGTGCGCCACTGCGCCCGGCCCCATTGTGTTTTTTATATCTGCCATTTCTGTTCTCATTATGCTCATGTTTTCTTTTAAATATTTGAGCATTTTCATAACAGCTTTTTAACTTTCATTTTCTGATTCTATCATCTCTGTCATCTATGAATCTATTTCTACAGATTATTTTTTTCTCTTGGTAATAATGAGTTGTATTTTCCTGCTCTTAGCATACCCACTAATTTTTGTTGTTGGTGCTGGACATTGTGAATTTTACATTGATGAATTCTAAATTTTGTTGCATTTATTTAAGCAATATTGGGCTTTTTCCTGGCAGGCCACTTCATTATTTGCAGATGTGTTTGGTCCTTTAGAGACTCATTTTTAATCATTTTTACAGTGGATCTATAGTAGCTTTTATTCAGGGGCTGGCTTAGCTCCTCTCTTAGTAGATGGCCCTTCTGGGGTCTCTACTGACTATCTTCTTTTCAGTAAGGTCTCTCTACTATAGCTTGGTGAATGTAAACAGCTCATAACCTTGTGTGTCTGGGATGAGTAGGCCTACAGCTCCCAGCAAGTGCTATCTCCTTGGAAGTTGTTTGTTCCTCTGGCCTCCTTGGAGACTTTTCCAATGCACGTGCAAATTGGGATTTAGCCAAAAACTCAACAGGAGTTTGGAGACCACCTATGTAAGTTAGCTTATTTTGCGCTTGGTAGCAAACGTCTCCTGTCATCTATGTATCTGTTCTTGAATTTATTATAATTGTTGTACCATTTGAAGAGTAAAGTCCTGTACTTTGTATCTAAAAAACAGATTTCTGCATAACTTCTTACATAAAATTGCATGTGCAAGTTATTACTCTGGTACACATGCTTTATTCTCAAATAATTGCTAGAGAAAGGTGAGTCTCTGCATGGCTCATGCTCTTGTTAAAGATAAGGTTCAGCAGCACAATTTGAGAAAATAGAAAGTATGATAACTTCGGCACTTATTGTAAGTTTTAGGTTTCTTGCTGACTTTTATATTTATGATATGAAATGCATCAATCATTAGATATAATTAATACATCAAATCTAAAGAAAAATAATTCTTATTCCTTTTTCATTCTGGTAAGCCAACTTAAAATGTGTTTTGAGATTGCAAAGCTAATTTTTGGCAAAATCTTCCCATTCGTTGTTACTTATGTTTGAATGAGGATTTTCTCAATTCTGGTTTAACCAAAAACTACTGAAATAAATTGTGTGTTATTACTAATTTAATACCACAACTTTTATTTACTAATTCAATTTAAAATGTTATGTTCTTTAAAAAAGACATAGTTCTCACTCATCAGTTTTATAAAAGATACATGTTGTAATTTTACATATCTAATATTTTTACTGATTAAAAAAAGCATTTAAAAATTTATTTGCCTTACCAAAGATTTCATTTTATAAAAAGGTTTTACAGCTGAAAAAAAAGTTAGAAAATATGGGACCTCAATTCATTTCTTAGAAAGCTCTAATTTCTGACCATTTGGTTTCAAGAAAGGTTCTAGGCACCCCTAACTGGTGGAAAACAAATAGAAAAAAAGTTTAAGTGCCATGATTTGAATACTTATACATAATGTAAAGTTATTGATCTCATTTTCTATTGTCATAAAAAGCCCATCTGAAATTAAGAGGAAAATATCACTGATGGGACTGCATGACCAAAGGAAATGTTGATGCTGTATAAATGTCCTCAGACAATAAATATAGATACAATTCCCTATAAATATATTACAACATGGAAAAGGTAGTTGATTACCCACTGAAATCAGTGTGTCTTAATGTGAGATCCAAGAAATATTAAATGATCCATAAACGGACTTTAGGGGTTCCATGGATCACCCAAAATGGTATCGAAATTTTGCGTACATAAATATTTTTCTCTAGGGGAGAAGGCCCATGGATTCCATTGAATACTCAAAGAAGTCAGTGCCCCCAAAGTGTTAGGTGTCACTCACTTTTTAACATTAAAGGGATAACTTTTAAATAGGTATCAATAACTGCACATACCCTTGACCAAGTAATTATCATGCATGGGAATCTATCCAAAGGTAATATTTGATGTAAGCAGATAGATATTTAATCATAGTAATGGTTAATATTGACTGATGGCTTACTGTGTGCCAGGGATTGTGCCAGGCATGCATTTTCTTATTTAATCCCCATTTGAACTGTATAAGATAGATACTATTATTATTGTTATATCATCTTAGCAAAATGAGGCTTTTGGAGTTTATAAAACTCACCCAAAGACACAGAACTTAGTAGGGTCATAACACTGTGAAAATTTGAATCCAGGCAATCTGACTTAGATCTGGACTCAACAATTGCAAGAAGCGGAAAAAGAATGCTTATCAGACTGTTTTATACAATGGTGATAAATGCTAAGTTATGATACAACCATAAGATAGGGTACCATATGGCCATTAAAACTCTTGTTGTAGAAAAATGTTGATTGACAATGGCAATGTTCTCCATAGATGGCTGCATGAAAAACAAGAGCAGTATGTTTTGCTTTTAGACGCCTATTCTTGTAACTATATACATAGAGAAAGAAAATGGAAAAAAGTAGACCAAAATGTTAAAATGTTAACAGTGTTTATCTCTAGGTGATATAATTTCACATTATTTTGTGCTTTACTGCCATGTCCATATTTTATCAATTTAGATTTATCTCTTTTGTAATTATCGTATAGAACACAGCAGTACTGTTATTTCAGTCCATTTCAGTGGATAGTGAGATGTGTGGACAAAATGTCACATTTAAAAGGTAGTTGTCCAGGCACGGTGGCTCACGCCTGTAATCCCAGCACTTCGGGAGGCTGAGGCGGGTGGATCACAAAGTCAGGAGATTGAGACCATCCTGGCTAACACAGTGAAACCCCCTCTCTACTAAAAATACAAAAAGATTAGCCGGGCGTGGTGGTGGGCACCTGTAGTCCCAGCTGCTGAGGAGGCTGAGGCAGGAGAATGGCGTGAACCCGGGAGGCAGAGCTTGCAGTGAGCCGAGATCCCGCCACTGCACTCCAGCCTGGGCGACAGAGCGAGACTCCTTTTCAAAAAAAAATAAAAATAAAAGGTAGTTTATGTAACCTCATTTCCTCTCAATTTTTTATTTATTTATTTTGGAGGGAGTGTGTGCTCATGGATCTTTAATATGTGATATTGGTCCCAGGAAAGTGAGTATCCTCAGGCATAATAACCATGTATAAAGCCAATACCTGTCTTTACCTTAAAAGAAGAATTGTGTTGTTTTGCATTACTGTTAATAATTATGAAATTCTGCATGACATATAACGGAATCAAAAGAACTGACGCACTGTCAGACCTGGATCAGTAAGACATGGGGTGTTGGGATGGAAAACAGTGATGCCACCAATTCACACATCCTTGGACACCAAATGTAACAGGCCTTGTTATAACACTGGACACGCTTTATAAAGAACCTTCAGGGCCAGGTGCAGTGGCTCACGCCTGTAACCCCAGCACTTTCGGAGGCCGAGGCGGGAAGATCACCAGGTCAAGAGATCGAGACCAGCCTGGCTAACATGATGAAACCCCGTCTCTACTAAAAATACAAAAATTAGTTGGTGTGGTGGTGCACACCTGTAGTCCCAGCTACTCGGGAGGCTGAGACAGGAGAATCTCTTGAACCCAGGAGGTGGAGGCTGCAGTGAGCTGAGATCTTTCCACTGCACTCCAGCCTGGTGACAGAGTGAGACTCTGTCTCAAAAAAAGAAAAAAGAGAGAAAAAAAGAAACTTCAGAAGGAAAGGAACTATACCCGCCCAGAACATTTCAGGATGATTTGTAATAATTAAAAGCACCAAAGAGAATCGTAAATGCAGTGATGTGAAACAAGCAAATTGAGGGAGATTTCTACCATTATCTCACATATATTTTTATGATGCACAAGACAGATTGCCATCTTTAAACTACATAAAATATTAATGCATTCTTTAATTTTGTTAGTCTTCTGTTAGTGAGAAAAATTTCCATATTCTGTAAGCAGGAGATGATGACCAGAGGCGAAGGAGACTTGTTGTCTAAGGAGTCCCTTCTCCACCCTCTGTCATTTTAAGTGCTATCCTCCTTTGAAAGTGAATCATTTTGGTAAGCTAAATAATCTTGATATTGGGGTGTGAGTGTATGTGAGTGTATGTGTATGAGTATTTATGTGTTGTGTATACTGGGTGTGTATAAGTGTGTTATAAGTTTGTGTATTGTATGTGTTTACGTATACATTGTGCATATAAGTGTGTATTATGTGTGTGTTTGTGTTTACGTGTGTTATGACTGTGTTGTGTGTATAAGTGTGCATTGTGAGTGTGTTCTGTGTGTTTTCATGGTGTGTGCATAAGTGTGTGTATAGGTGTGTGTTATGTATATGTGTTATGGATATTATGCATTGTGTGTGTCTTTTGTGTGTTTGTGTGGTGTGTATGTGTGTGTGATATCTAGAGTGATAAAATTGTATCTCCTGGGTCCTTGTCAGTAACCAGTTTTTGGCTGTGCCTATAGATGTGAAGTAGGGGTATCTCTTGCTGGGAGGTGAAGCCGGCTGGGCTTCTGGGTCGGGTGGGGACTTGGAGAACTTTTCTGTCTAGCTAAAGGACTATAAACACACCAATCAGTGCTCTGTGTCTCACTAAAGGTTTGTAAATGCACCAATCAGCACTCTGTAAAAACGCACCAATCAGCACTCTGTGTCTAGCTAAAGATTTGTAAACACACCTGTCAGCACGCTGTAAAAACGGACCAATCAGCAGGACGTGGGCGGGGCCAAATAAGGGAATAAAAGCTGGCCACTAGAGCCAGCACCGGCAACCCGCTCGGGTTCTCTTCCATGCTGTGGAAGCTTCGTTCTTTCACTCTTCATAGTAAATCTCGCTGCTGCTCACTGTTTGGGTCCGCACTACCTTTATGAGCTGTAACACTCACTGTGAAGGTCTACAGCTTCACTTCTCAAGTCAGCGAGATCACGAACCCTCTGGGAGGAAGAAACAACTCCAGAGGCGGCACCTTTAAGAGCTGCAACACTCACTGCGAAGGTCTGCGGCTTCATTCCTGAAGTGAGCGAGACCATGAACCCACCAGAAGGAGGAAACTCCGGGCACATCTGAACATCTGAAGGAACAAACTCCGGACACACCATCTTTAAGAAGTGTAACACTCACCGCGAGGGCCTGCGGCTTCGTTCTTGAAGTCAGAGAGACCAAGAACCCACCGGAAGGAACTAATTCCAGACACATTGCCACTGAGTAAATAGCGTGTTGAGAGTGTGTGTTGTGTGCTCCCAGTGTCCAGTATAAGACACAGCCTGTGACCAGTTTTCATTTATAAAATGACTATTAGAGGACATTTCTTAAGCAGGTACTATTTTTAGATGGGTTGTTGAGTGCAGCAGGGAAGTCCGCTTTCATCCTCTGTCTGAGGGTGATGGGCCACCTACTACTTGAAACATTTTGGTTCACTTCCACCTAGGCTGAATTTGGAGATCTAACCTAGCTGGGAAACTCCTTCCCTACTCAGAACAGATGTACAGAAAAGATACGTTTATAAACACCTCCCTGTTGTTTCTGTGTAAATATTACTGAAAAACCACTTCCTTTGCTCCCCTCATCTTTCCAGTATCTTTCTAAATCACTTCCACTGTTATTATGCTCTTTTCTTCTAAGGCTATAAATTCGGCTGCAATTCAAATAATCCACTGTGTTGGGCTTCCTTGTCTGTGAAGTAATATGAATGGAGTGCCATCTAGTGATCAGAAAGAAGACAGCAGAAACCCAGCCCAAAGGGTTCCACAGGAGTCTTTCATGTTTGCAAACAGATATGTTGAGTTTGGGTGATAAAGAGATGGGAGGAACAATTATTACCAAATTCACGAAATCATGTTTGCCGTTCTATAAATGCCTACCTGTTTCAGAGAAAAAGACTTGGCTATTTGAAAAATTCAATACCTGTTAAGCAATAAGACCTACACATTTTTCCAGTTTTTACACAACCATGGGTCACTATGGCTCACATGATCAAATGTAAGTAAAAAAACTTATTGGTCTTTTGACAGAATCTTTTTTTCAAACAAATAACATTTTCCTATAGATTTATGCAATACATTTAAATTTGTATTTTCTGTAGAAAACATTTCTTAATAGAATACACTAAAACTTTTTGGAGAGGGTATATTAGAATATGTTCTGGCTTTTTGACATTTAGAGTGATAAAATTGTAACTCCTGGGTCCTTGTCAGTAGTCCAGATTTTGGCTATTTTTATAGATGTGACATAGCAGTATCTCTTGCTACTAAGCAACTACTGCCAGGCTAGACTAACACCAGGAGGGACATGACATTGCTGACAGAGATCCTGCAGCCATCTGTAGGCAGCAGATGGGGTGGGGCAAGGTGGCCACTGAGGCCTGGAAAATTAATCACTATGTCTGAGGTCAAATGATGATCAAATAAAATATTGGTTCTCTGACCTATAGTTTTGGGGAATGGGGAATTTTAAATATGGTGTGTGCAGTATGCTCGCTCTCTCTGTACACTTGAGAAAAGAACAGGAAGGAGAAAAAGTAAGGAGTGATAGCATGATCTAAATCATGGTGTCATATTTCTGGATTGACATTGCCCCCTTGGGATTTTGTAGGTAGGTGGAGCTCCATAGGGCTGCTGCTTTTAATAAACCCGATGCACACCTAGCTTCTCTTCCCACTTCCACTTAGCGGGGACATTAAGTGCTGATAGCTCCAGGGAGTGGCATAATTCTTAGATAATATTAGCCCAAAAATTTTTGCTATGAATTAAGAAAAGTATTTGAGAAGTTTGATGTGATCTTCACTGCTTTCTACTTTCTGAGTCTTTCTTACCCACAAGTTATCATTCCTCTTTGCATCTCCTCTGGTTCTTTTTACTCTTTCCAAAAGAGCTTTCCTCAGTGTTTTTCTCTTTACATTCTTTCCCTGAGCTATTTAACATCTTCAACGATCACCAAAATTCCGATGACTCCAGAATCTCTGTCCAAGTCCGACTTCTGTCTCAAATTCCAGCTCCACCTGGAATTTGCTCGTTGGATACCTGTAACTTTTTCCACCATTCAGAACTGCAGACGTTGCCTGTCCAAAACCGAGCACCAATCTCCTCATGTTTCCTTTCCTGTGGGTGGCCCAGAATCTCCCAGCTGACTCAGCATTCTGCCCTAATGAACCTCTTGTTCTTTGCTTTCCACAGCCAGTTGTGCTGTTTGGAGATTGAGCGGTTCCTCTCACATACCCCAGTCCTCTTTATTCTTGCTAGAAAAGCTGATTAAAAAAAAAATCTTTTCCTCAATGGCTCCAGTTTTCCCTTCTCAGATCTACTTGACATACTAAATATATGGCACTCTGTTATGGGCTGCGTTGTTTTTTATGGACTAAGTTTTGTACCCCTCAAATTTATCTGTTGAAGTTCTAATTCCCAGCCCCTCAGAATGGGACTGTATTTGGAGATAGGGCCTTTACAGAGGCGATAAGGAAAAATGAGGTCATATGGGTGGGCTGATATGACTTCATTTTACCTTAATTACCTCATAAGAGTAAATGTAGACACAGACACATAGAGAGGGAAAACTATATTAGGACACAGTACAAGACAGGGAGAAAGGCCTCAGGAGAAACCAGCTCTGCAGACACCTTGATCTTGTTGATCTTGGATCTCTCACCTCCAGACTGCCTTCGGACTCTATCTGCAACAGCAGCTCTTCTCTGGGTCTGCAGCCTACTGCCCTGCCCTGCACAATTCACACTTGCCAGGCTCCACAAACATGTGAGCTAATTTCTCTCCTTCTTTGTTTTCTTCCTTTCTTTCTTTCTTTGTTTCTTTCTTTGTTTGTTTCTTTCTTTCTTTCTCTTTCTTTCTCCTTCCTTCCTTCCTTTTTTTTTTTTTTTTTTTGACACAGAGTCACGCTCTGTCACGCAGGGTGGAGTGCAGTGGCATGATCTTGGCTTACTGCAACTTCCACCTCCCAGGTTCAAGCAGCTCTCTGCCTCAGCCTCCTGAGTAGCTGGGATTACAGAGGCCCGCCACTACACCAGCTAATTTTTTGTATATATATATTTTTTAGTAGGGACAGGGTTTCACCATGTTGGCCAGGCTGGTCTTGAACCCCTGAAGGAGAAGGAAAAGGAAAAGGGGAAGGGGAAGGAGAAGGAGAAGAAGAAGAAAGAAGAAGGAGGAGGAGGAGGAGGAGGAGGAGGAGGAGAAGAAGAAGAAGAAGAAGGATAAGAGGAAGAAAATAATAATAATAATTGCTTCTCAGGCTGGATTCAAATCCAGCAATTTATTTGATCTCTCTAAGCTTCCATTTCATCATCTATAAAATGGGAATAATTCATTCATTCATTCTTCAAAAACTTACTGAATAACTCTTAATGATACCAATACATTCATGATATTGCAACTTCAGAGTGACTTGGTAAAGGGAGACCTGTAATTTCCAGATGCTGTTGCTCTTTACTAAAAAGACTGAAGGAAGAGAAAATTCACTGGTGGGAGTGAATCCAGAACTTCATCTGGGCTGTGTCCAGTTGAGATGTCTTTTAGACATCCAAGAAGAGGCAACGGCTAAGCAGCAGGATATATACAAGTGGAGTTCTAAGAATAGGATGGGTCGAGAGACAGAAATTTGGGGGAAAAAATGTATTTAAAGCCTATGGGATAAAAAATGTGAATTTAGATGTGTGATGTTAACATGGGCCAATCAGAAAGAAAAACTTCAAAAAGGATTTGTGATCAGCTTTGTGAAATATTACCAACTTACAAGATGGCAGTGTGAGGAGCTCTGAACCCAGTCTCCTGGGAAACAAGCATAACTCGTTAAGAAGAAAAAAAACTATTTGGAAAACAAACACATTTAAAGCGTCTGGAAATTGTCTTAAGCACATATAGCAAAAGAAGCCATCTTTATTTATTTATTTTTTAAACCTACTAAATCTTGGTAAAAACAGCAAGAGTCCATGACATTTGAGCTATGTTCTACTCCCTGTCTCCCTGCATACAACTCCTGAAATCCTTGCAATCTTCCTCACTACATCCCCACCCCCAATCCCAACTCAGCTTGGCAGAAACTCCACTCCAGACAGATTTGGACAAAAAGACAAAGCTGTTCCCTCAGCTCGCAACCATGGGATATGGTATTTCACTGGGTGACACAGGACACTAGCATTTCTTATCTCTTCCAACTCCACATTTAAGAGGCTAAATTTCTGGTGAGTGTGACCAAGAGGTCAAAGTCTCCTTTCCTCCATCCAGGCTCTACTCACAGGGTGGAGGCTCTATCCCAGGAAGAATCCTGGTTTCCCAACTGTCCTCACATGAGCTCACTTGGAGAGCAGAGATTCCACTCTGGGAGAGGCAAGCCAAGAAGATTAGAAGTTGCCATCCCACCCAACACTCAACATATGGCTCAAATATTTTGGCCAGAGGGAAAGATATTTCACAGGAACAGAGAGTTCCAAAGATGTCACCAAAGGAACTGATTTTATGTGAAAGTGTGGTGACGTGCAAGCCTCAGAACAGTCTCAAAAACCATGCTGTTCATTAAGAGCAACAAGCTAAACCATAGGCCATGGAGTTTATCAGAGAGAATTGTGAAAAAAGAAAGTTAACAGGACCCCTCCTGGGTCAGAACAAGCCTTAAAGATAGTCCCAAAACTACCCCTGCCTGAAATTAATTGGAGTAGACTGTGGAGCAAGATATGCCCCAGGGCATAAGCAAAAATAATAGAGCAATCAGCCAGCAATTACTTGGTGTGATGTCAAATGAAGCAGACAGCTTATCAGAGAGATCACGGAAAGAGACAGTTAAAGAGAGCTGTGCTAAAACCATGTCATCCCAGGGGGTTGTGTGCAAGGCCAAGCCTGAACCTTCTAAGGTGTGACACCAAAGGCTTCAAAGGCTTCACTTGGTGAAGGAAATAGATTTCTCTAAAATAGTCTAACAAATCACCATACAAATGAGCAAACAGCAACAAAAACAAGACCTGGAGAGAGGGTGAAGGGAATTAGTATCCACAGCTGCTACATTATACAGTTGACCCTTGAATAACATGAAGGTTAGGAGCAGCAATACCCAACACTCTTGAAAATCCACACAAGACTTTTGGCTTCTCAAAAACTTAACTACTAATAGCCTACTGTTGACTGGAAGCCTTATTGATAGTGTAAAAAGTCAATTAACACATATTGTGTATGTTATATGTATCTTATACTATATTCTTACAATAAAGTAAGCTAGAGGAAAATGTTATTAAGAAAATCATAAGGCAGAGAAAATGTCTTTACTATTCATTAAGTGGCAGTAGATCATCATAAAGGTCTTCATCCTTATAGTCTTCATGTTGAATAGGCTGGAAAGGAGGAGCAAGAGGAGCAGTTGGTCTTGCTGTGTCAGAGGTGGCAGAGGCGGAAGAGGTGGAGGAGGTGGAAGGGGAGGACGGAGAGGCAGGTGCACTAGGTATAACCTTTACTGAAAACTATCTGAGCTAAAATGGACCCACGCAGTTCAAACTTCTGTTGTTCAAGGGTCAACTGTATTACTGAATTGAAGAAAGAAATTCAATTTTTCCTACTGTGCACTCACAACATGCTTCTGACACCAGATGGAGCTTGGGGGGATTTTCTGACACATCAAGCAAGTAATCATTTCTGCAGCAGACACCAGATGTGTGTCCTCTAATTCAACCCAATTCTGCCACTATCTACTTGGAGATCAGATCCCATAGGTTGAGGGCTCAGTCTATCATACCTATCATCAGATCCCATAGGTTGAGGGCTCAGTCTCACAACATTGCTCTCTAATTTTGGTGCCAATAGCAAGCCCCAGGGTTTTTTTCACCTGTGCTTCTGACCTAGGAGCTATAAATCAGGGTTCCCAGGACCTCCTCCTTGGGTTCAATTAATTTGCTAGAGCTGCTCACAGAGCTTAGAAAAACACTTTTTGTTTACTGTAAAGGATATTACAAAAGAGAGAGATGAAGACATGTTTAAGGGGAGGTCAGGGGGGAGGCTTGTGGAGCTTCCATGCTCTCCCTGGGTTTGTCACCCTCCAGAAACCTCCACAAGTTCAGCTTTCTGGAAGCTCCCAAACTCTGTCCTTTTGGGATTATAAGGAGGCTTCATTACATAGGCATAATTGATTAAATCATTGACCACTGGCAACCAACTTAACCTTCAGCACTAGTTGAGGCTGAAAGCCTCAACCCTCTAATCATGCCTTGGTCTTTCCAGTGACCAGCCCCATCTTGAAGCCATCTAGGGGCTGACAGCCGCTAGTCAACTCATTAGCATACAAAAAGGCAGTTAACATTTTGGAGACTGCAAGGATTTTAAAAGTTGTATGCAGGGAGACAGGGATGAGGAACAAATATATATTTCACAATATCACAATTACCTAAACTGTTCAGTTTTCAGCAAAAAAATGTGAGTCATACAAAGAAACAGGAAAGCATAACCCATACACCAGGAGAAAAAGCAAACAAATAGCTTGTGAGAGGGCCCAGATTTCAGATTTAATAGCAAAGACTTCCAAGCAGCCATTATCAATTGTTCAATTTACTAGAGGAAAACATGTTTAAAGAAGTACAGGAAGGTCTGGTGACAATGTCTCATCAAATAGAGAAATACCAACACAGAGATAAAAAAAGAACCATATGGAAATCATGGAGGTGAAAATGTAATAGCCCAAATGAAAAATTTACTAATGTTTTGACACTAAATTTGAACTCAAGAATCAGAGTTTGAAGACAGATCAATACAGATCATATAATCTGGAAAAAAAAGAATGAATGAAAATAAGCAGAGCCACAGACAAATGCTGGATTCACTAGGTACACCAGCATGTGTAATGGGAGTAGCAGAAGAAGAGAGGAAAAGAAGAAGAAAAAAATATTTGAAGATATAATGGCTGAAAACTTCTCAAATGTGCTGAAAACATGGATCTACACATTCAAGAAATTCAACAAACTCCAAGAAGTATATATGCAAAGAGATCCATAACTAGATGTGTCATGGCAAAAATGCTAAGAGCCAAAAACAAAGAGAAAATATGGAATGCAGCACAAGAAAAATGACTTAGGACTTTTCACAAGCTAGCAACTCTGCATGGAGCATTCCTCATCCAGTGGACATCCTGGCTTCCTCAGACACTTCCCTGACACCTCCCACCCACCCAAGATTAGATGAACTCCTTTAATGCTATCAAAGCCCCAGTGACTTCACCTTTTTTTAACACTCCCTTCGCTTGTTGTCAGAATTGGCCGCATAGCTTGTGAGGCCCTGTGAAAGATAAAAATGAGGGCTCCCTCTTTAAAAATTATTAAGAATTTCAAGATGATGTTCACAGAGCATGAAAGTCAGGCTCAGGGACCATCTGAGTGTGAGGCTCTGTGTGACTGCACAAGTCACATGATGTCCATGCAGTTGCCCTGAGCACAGTTTCTCATTAAAACCATCCAGGCAGGGGACAAGCCTCATCTTCCTTGCTCTCCGCTACATCTGGTGTCTCTTTCGTGGTGCCTAACACAGTAGCCACTAAACGAGTTTGTCAGTGTGTGGAAGCTCCTCAATCTAAACTACTTACAGGAAGTCCTCACTTAACATTGTCTATAGGTATTTGGAAACTGTGACTTTAAGCAAAACAAGGTAACACAAAACCAATTTCACTACAGGTGAATTAATAAAAACAGCAGTTAAGTTCCTAGGGCATATTTCTGGTCACGAAAACACCACTAAATCGCTAAATAAAGACCCCAAACACTTCTAACACTAAACATTGAAATAAATGTTATCTATACATACATCTAAGATTAATGAAAACAATTTAAGGTAATTATATACCCAGTGATTCTGGTTCAGGGTCGCAGGTGGCCAGAGCCCATCCCAGCAGCTCAAGGCACAAGGTGGGAATCAACCCCATTCTATGGCAGGGCACACTCACACACCCACACTCTCACACTCAGACAATTGAGACACACCAGTTAACCTGGCATGCATGTCTTTGGGATGTGGGAGGAAACCAGAGTCCCTGGAGAAAACCCACGCAGACATGGGGAGAAAGTGCACACCCCACAGACAGCAGCCCTGGCTGGGAATCAAATTTTTTTCCTCGTTAATATTATAACAGAATGACATTGAATGAAAAAATGTTATGTGTGGACCTGCTATATTTTGCTTGGTTGTAAAAACAATAGCTAGTTTTGTTGTTGTTGTTGTTTGTTTGTTGTTTGTTTTTGAGATGGAGTCTTGCTCTGTTGCCCAGGCTGGAGTGCAGTGGCACAATCTCGGCTCACTGCGAGCTCCACCTCCTGGGTTCATGCCATTCTCCTGCCTCAGCCTCCCGAGTAGCTGGGACTACAGGCGCCTGCCACCACAAACAATAGCTAGTTTTTGTTCCACTCTCTGGTACCGATTACATTGTTTCATTCACAAATACTTCATCTTTCACTATGTTTCAGCATGTTGATCTTTGCAGAAGTAAAGAATAGAGACAGCTTAAGCCCAATTAAATTATTTTATGTGTATATTGCAGTTCTTACATAATTTCACCATATTTATTGTCTTAGTCCATCTGGGCTGTTATAACAAAATAACATAAAGTAGGTGGCTTCTAAACAACACACATTTGTTGCTCACAGTTCTGGAGGCTGGGAAGTCCAAGATGATGGTGCTGGCAGACTCTGTGTCTGCTGTGGGCCTGTTTCCTAGTGTATATATAGCAGTTTCTCACTGTGTCCTCACATGGTGTAAAGGGATAACAGCTTCCTTCAGGCCTCTTTTAAAACAGCATTAACCCCATTCATGAGAATTCATGATCTAATTACCTCCCACCTCTTAATTCCAAAACTTTGATGGTTACGATTTCAACATAGGAATTTTGAGGGACATATTCAGACCATGGCATTTATGAACCTATTGAACAGAATACCTCATTTCTCTGAGTTGATCTATCAGATATGCATATTTTACTCCTTTCTATTGCATTTTCCATTGTATTAAGTGTTATTAGCTAATAGTGTTTTATTTTTAAATAAGTACTGTGAAAGTTAATAATACAAATTGGGCAATTCTTGTCATACATACTCAGTTAAATCAGAACTGAGGGGCCAGAGAGGAAAACATACGTGGGGGACATAGCACCTACTCCACGAATGTATTTTCTCCAAGCCCAGCTGCTGAAATGGCCTGCTGTCACCCCAGGGCCAGTTTTACCTGGTAGCTGCTGAAGCAACAATTTGTGACTCTAAGACTTGTTTTAATTCCTGCCATGACTCACCAACCAGAGCTTGCCAGAGTCCAAAAGCTTCTCTAGTGCCAATGAGCTTTCTTTCAAAACAATATGTAACAATTCTTTAATAAAACTCCTGTCTCTTTGTTCTTTGGACATACTGAAGATCACCTGGTCTCTGTGTATGTCCTGAATTGCAATTCTTGCTTCCTAAATAAAATGTTTCAAATTTCAATATTTATCTCTATATCTTATTTAACTTCAATGGTACTCATACATTTTTAGACTTTTGACTTTTTGATGAGAGAGAAACTACCTTAGCTTTAGATAACATTTACAAAGCTCATTTGCAAGATGTCCTCATCTTCTACACCATGCTTACAACTATTAACCACAGGTGTGAACAGGTAGATGGTGATCACTTGACTCAGACTGGGTCTTTGGAAATTTACCAAACCTTTCTGTGTCTGTTTCATATCTAATGCGATAGGAGTAGTATTACTTATCTCACAGTTTGTTTTTTTTTTTTTTTTTTTTTGAGATTAAGTCTCACTCTGTCACCAGGCTGGAGTGCAATGGTGCGATCCCGGCTGACTGCAACCTCTGCCTCCCAGATTCAAGCAATTCTTCTGCCTCAGCCTCCTGAGTAACTTGGATTACAGGCGGGCACCATCATGCCAGACTAATTTTTTGTATTTTTAGTAAAGAAGGGGTTTCACCATGTTGGCCAGGATGGTCTCGATCTCTTGACCTCTTGATCCGCCCACCTCAGGTTCCCAAAGTGCTGGGATTACAGGCGTGAGCCACCATGCCTGGCTTTCTCTCACAATTTTTATTAAAGAGAATTACAGGAGTTGTCTTCTATAGGCACCTAGGAGGGTTCCCCATACTTAACAGATATTCAATGCACATTACGTTTTGCTCCCTCCCATGTGGTGGGGTAATGCTATGATCTCCATGAAGTCCTGCGATCTGCTTTCCTCATTCACTCAAGCTTTTATCACTTAGTAAGAATTTCTACATGTTAAGTGGTGTTTGAAATTCCTCTGATTTAAACATAAAATTAAACAATAAAATCAACATGTCTCCTTAATCACTGAGATTTTTTTCTCATACTCATTTCACTCTGCAAAAGTGTGTCTTCTGAAAAGCTGGACTTGCAAAACGCTCACCATGAAATATAACTTTTCAATGCATATGTAAACCAAAAAAATTTGAAATAAAACATTTCATTCTACCTTTTTTGATGTATTTAATTGAATGACTCATTTAGTGATTTTCAGTTTAATATATTTAGCAGGTTAATACCTGGCTTATTAAACAATAATCTTTATTAACACAATTTTTCTTATTGAATACAAAATAAACCATTGCAAACTATAGTCACAATAATCAAGAGAGGATCAAAGCTACTGAGCAAATAGACCAGCTATAAAAGTTTATTAAAAAAATAGACAACATATGTAAACATATTTTTCAGTCACAAGGCTTCATAATACAGCACATTAGGCCCAGGCCTTAAATCTCTGCAGTGAGAGTACCTTAATTTTTTACTAACAGTAATTGACTTATCTTTCAGTGAACATTAAGCCTACACAAAAATAAATAACCAGATTCTGCTAAGTTTACTAACACAGAAAATTGCAAATGTACAATAGATTGCAGCAAAAGTTAACTATCTGCAGTAACATGTGAGATTGAATTGTTATATTACAATTATTTTAATACAGCTTCATTTTGAAATTCATCATAATGTAGAGTTGACTAAAATAAAGCTAAAGGGGAATAATAACAGAGATAAACAAACACCCAGATCACATACACTCCCCAACACACACATGCAAACACACATTTACTAATATGCATGCACACACACACACGCCAACATACATGCACACACATACAGGGATGTTTTGGTAGAAGTAAAACTGAGGACATAGTTTCCATCCTTTTTCTTTCATGTATTGATGATTTTAGGTATATATTTCTCTACCCTTAAGCTGGAAGCTACGTGTTCCAAAAGGACTGAACACAAAGCAATCATAGTTTCAAATGTGATAACATTTTGGGAAAACCAAATCTCTGTTACATAATTCAATAACCACACAAAGTGAAGCCGAATCATAGAACAGATGATAAAACAAGAAAACGTATTAAGTATCTGAGACTTTGCTGCAAGAATCCAGAATGCAAGATCGTTTTCCTTAGGGCAAAACTTACCATGTTAATACAATCCTTTCATACTGTTTCTCATCTGCTGGATATACCTGTTAGGCAACCACAATGCTGCAAAATTGCCAAATAATATGATTTTCCTTTTCTTCTATTATAGGTGAGATATTTTATCACACAATTGAATTTATTTTAAATTGCTGACATTTCAGTTATTCAGTAAACCTTAAGCAAGGTGCAATTTTAAATGAAATATCAAGCAATGTTTTTAATTTAGTTTTTCATTGTTTGGAAAAATTTAAATGTCGATTGTCTGTCTTCTGAAGAGCCACATTCTAGAGACAGAAGGGAAGCACAATACATTTAACATAAGAAACCAAGGCAAATTTACCAAGCTCTCGGGTAGCCATTTCTGCACCAATAACTCTGGATTTGTATCATATATGTATGACCATAAAAGTGATTCATAGATAATTTTATTATTTAAATCCTGATCTGCTATTCAAAGATCCATTTCTGAAAATAATTCATAATATAGTTGTCGTTTCCACCATATGAGCTTATTTCAACAGATGTCTAACATTTATCCACAATTAAATGAAATGTGAAATAACAACAACATACTTAACTTCTAATAGTACTGTACTGCTGTTCCTTGAGTTGTCAGTGTCTTTGGGATTATTAGGATAATTATGCACTCAAATAGAGAAAATAAAATTAAGACACATGACTGTTTACAGTACATGATATCTGTGAAGAGCTAGGTATCTGTAACAATTTTTAAAAGTTCTACTGGAGAATGAAAAAGCTTTCCACTTCTGAATATCAAATAAAGGGCTACTGATGGAGGAAGAATGTTTTCTATAGGAAAAACCTAAAGATTAGCCTCACTCAAGGGGCACACCATGTGGTCTCAGTCAAATGGCAAGGACTGAACTTTGAACATCTATTTTGGAGTTCTAATGAATAAAATGCTTATAACTTATATTCAGTAAAGCTTTTATAAGTTACATTCCGTATAATTTCCTCAGAGAGAAATATCATTGCATAATTTAAGTGAGAACTGGACATATGCATTATCGGCCCACAGCCAAGGTTAGGTAGTTTAAACAGGACTTTATATCTATTCCAGTCGTCAGACTTTTAAGACCTTTACTTACTAATATCACATTATTCTTGCCAAGAAACTAAAGCTCTTTCTTGGCTTTTTGTTGCAAAAATGACAATTAAGAAAAGAAACTACAAGAAAAAAAAACAAGAAACAAGACAAGAAAAAGGAAAGAAAGGAAAAAAGAAAAAAAAGGAAGGAAAGAAACAAAAATAGTGAAGCTCATTACAATTTCTGTTGTGTGCAAATGGACAAAGGCATAAATGAGAACAAAAACATTAACATTGTGCTGAAGGTAATTCGACCCAGCATAGTTTTCATTGGTGCACATCTCTTGTTTTACACTTTTGTGTATTCCAAGTTATAAGAAAAGAATCCAGAGGAAAAACAATAGACATGGCTAACAGCAATCATATACATTTTTTGAGAAGCTGGATATATCTTACTAATTTAGGAACATGGCCACAGCTTTTGAAAACACAGCAGCATGAAACAGTTCAAAGGTAGATACATTGTGTTCATTTGTTCACCTTAAAAAAATGCTTAAACAACAGTAAGGCACTTAGTTTAAGACAGGAATTCTTTCTCCAGTTCATATATAGATGGCCGGCTGGTTTTGCTCCTCATTCTGCACAGTGGCACAGTGTAGTCCCTGCTCTGACCTTCCACGTCAGCATCCAGTAATGAAGGCACATGGGATTTAGTTCTCTCCTTGGCAGCGAGGAATTGGGTGGGATGTGGTCCTGGGCGACCCACTACACAGGCAGTCTGTGCCAGCTGAGACACTGCTGTCTGTGGGTAAGCCTGAGGCAGATCTGAGCGGCTTCTCAGGGAGGCAGGGCGACGCTGAGGCACGATGTGGACAGTGCTGTGCTTCTTGGGTGAGACCTCCCTTGGCAGATGACTGTGAGGAGCAGGTGAGGGGCAGAGTGGCAGTGCAGAGGCTCCAGTGGCTGAGATAATAGTTGCACCAGCTGGTTGAGAAAGCCAAAACAGTATGCAGTTAGAAAGAAAATGAGTTCTAAAACAATGAATATCAAGAAAAATAATTATGATGGCAATTCAACAAAGTGATAGCTTTAAAATGAGCTTCAACAAAAAACATGCATTCACAGGCATGATCATAGCACACTGCAGCCTCGAACTCTTGGCCTTAAGGACCAAGGAACTCTGCCTTAGCCTCTAGAGTAGCTGGGACCACAGGCATGTGCCACCACACCTGGCTGAAGTCCTGCAAGTTTGCAAAGAGTACTTCAACCTATGGAAATTATATTTGTAAACAGAGCTAAATAATCCTCACAGTGCTTAGGCCAATAAAAATTATGAGTCATTATAATGATATTATAACGGTAGCTTTCAAAATGGACTAGACTGGAATAAATTTAAGAGGTTTAAAAATGATGGTCAACATGATTAAACTTCACTGTAGATTATGATTTGACAAAACTGATGAAAATGGAAAAGCAGTTAGACTTTTACACGTCACCTCTTTTCTTGTTTGTACTGAAGAACTGAATAATGTTATTACCACTTTAGCAAATAATTATTGGCTTATAAGTTAGAGAAAAATATGCTTTCATATGGGATTACTGTGCTAGAATTTCTCCTTGTGCAATTATAAATTACCAATACTTATTGACCTACAGAAAGATAATAAACCAATTTATCTAAAGGCAATGAACAATAATATAGAAAATATCATATCCAGATATAATATTTAAAAAGAAGTAAAGGAAAAGATAAAAAGGATGAAAGCAGTTTGTCTTAATATAGCTTTATAACCAATGCTAGCATAGCATTTTACAATTTAGAAAGCATTTTTTGTATATATTACCTCACTTAATATTCATGACAGGTATATAAGGTTATTGCAATTATGTTCACATACAAAATAAATAATACTCAAGCTCTACAGAGCACTTAGTGTGCCATCTGACTTTTACCACGATCTCAATTGTACAGATTAGGTAAGTATAGTATTAGGTATGTATATTGTTACTGTCCCCATTTTATAGATGAAGAAACTGAGGCACAAAATGTTTAAGTGATTCGCCCAAATTCACTCAGCATATAAGCAGAGATATGAGCCCAGCTAGCTTCCATACTATTAACCATGACACTACAATGCTTTTTAAGACATTCAAACAAGAAAGCAGTCTACGTAATTTCCCCAGCATCACAAACTTACCAAATAGTACAACTAGAACTTGAACCTTTGTTCTATGACTCAAAATCCCCCATTCTTCCAAAGTACCCATATTATCTCCTCAAATGTCAGTATTTCAGTGCCACTTAACCCCAGAAATCTCAAAGCTGAGTACATTCTAGCACATGATAGCATGATCCAGTCACATCAATACTCACTGAATTTTAGGAATGGAAAAAATACCGCAGTGAGGAGGAGTGAGACACTGTGATACAGCAGAAGGATCCCGGGTTTAAATTCTGACACCACTACTTCCTAATTGTGTGACCTTGAATAACATTAATTTTCCGTAAGTTTGAATTCTCTTGCATATAATAGAGTTGCCATAAAAACTAAGAGACAATTTATGTCCAAGTGCTTTAACATCTATAAAGTGCTGTGGAAATACCACTGGTTGCCTTCTGCCCAAGCCCCTCTTGTTGAATAGACTAAAAAACTATTTAAAAATTTGATTTTCTTTTCTTTCAGAGATTCCACATCTGGACATAAACCTCATGGAACTGTCTGGTATAACATACATCAACAGGGTAATACTTGCTGTCATGGGGTGAACTGTGTCCCCACAAAATTCCTAAGCAGAAGCCCTAACCCTCTGTCCCTCAGATGTCACTGTATGTGGAATAGGGTCTGTACAGAGGTGATTAAGGTAAAATGAGGTCATTAGGGTGGGCCCTAATCCAATGTGACTGATGTCCTAAAAAGAGATTAGGACACAGATGATTAGGACACAGATGCACTCAGAGTGAAGACTGTGTGAGAACACAGGGAGAAAACGGCCGTCTAGAAGTCAAGGAGCCAGGCTGAGCTCAGAAGGAACCAACCCTTCAGACACCTTGATCTGACTTCCAGCCTCTGGAACTGCTGGACAATGAGTTTGTGCTGAACATCTCTCCATGCTGTGGCACTCTGTTATGGCAGCCCTAGCAGGCTGATCACCTGCTACACACAGTCCCAACAGAAACAGAACAATGACATGTACAGCAGTGGAGGAGACAAGGCCCGCAGGGAGGCGAGAGGCCAGTTTCAGTTCCAGCCCTCCCACTCATCCGTGGTTCTAACTGGGGCAGCTGGCTTGTCTTTCCCGTAACGTGAGGGGGCTGGGTGGTTATTCTCCATGTGTTCTTTCTGCTTTGATATGCTATTATAGGTTTCAGTTACTGAAATTCAATTACACTTTTCCCAGAATCCAAATCATAGTTAAAATCAAATAAGAGAAGGGTAAGGTTCAAAGATCTACATGAACAGTAAAAACAAATTATTAAATGTCATCACCAGGAAAAGATAAAATCATAAATCCATACTGTTTCACATACTAATCTCTACAGCAGTGTTTTATGCTTTTACCTAATTAATGCAACCTACTTGGGGTCGGATTTCCATCAGACATGGTCCGTCTGTGATGTGACGGTCTATGTTTTGAAGAAGCACAGTAAGGTACATTCCCACATGTCTGCTGTAGGAAGGAAGACGGCAAGTTTCTTGATACACTACAATCAGTGTCAAGTCTTGGCATGAGGGCTGGCTCACGACCACTTCCTGGGGCAGTGGGACAAAAATCCGGAGTGAGCATCTCAGAGTCACAAGTGACAGGTGCACTGTCCACCAGTGGATCTTCACTGTCCATCTGCAGCAGGCACTTTGTGGAGAAAGAAGGTGTGGAGAGGATGCCCAGGGCACTTGACAGTGGCAGGGAGGGTGGGCTGCTGGCCTCCCCACAGGTGGATGGCAGGCTTGTGGGAGGACTGGCGCTTCTGCGGGACTTGGAAGCCCGCTGGAAGATTCCCTCTCGTTTCTTCTTCTCTTCCTTGGGCAACGGTTCTTCAGCAGCCTGTGCTTTATGAAGCTCTCTGAGGTCCAGTCCCAGAGCCACCGATGCCAGAAGGACGGTGCACCCATACAGAGCTGACTCCGTTTTCTTTCTCTGGGGGGATCTACTCAGACTATTCGTAGGAGTCATCTCAATGGAGACTGTGGCAGCATTCGCAGAGGCTGCCTCCTCCCAGCTTTCAGCTTCTGCAGGATTCTCTCTCTGAGCATCTTTCCCAAGAGGTAGATCAATGTAGGCCTGACTAGGCAATTTTATTTGTTTTGGTTTTCTGTGTTCTAATCCATCAGGGGAAAGTTTTGGCTCTTCACAGGACCCTAAATAAAGGTATAAGTACATACACTGTAGTATCATTTTACAGCAAAAGTCATTTAAACAAGATTGTAAAATAAAGCTAAAATATAATAAATACATATTTTAAATCAAAACACATGCAGCCCTTTTCATTTCTGCAAATGATTCATCCAGGAGGGCTCCATGGAGCAAGAGTCTAGGGCCCTACAACTTCAGGTTCCCTGCAGATGAACCAGCAAGCTAGCCATCTGCTGTTTCCTATGCTTCGGGAAGCTGTTCTTCATCAGCTTCAATAATAGACACTATTGTAGAAACAGTCATCAAAACACAAAAACGCACAACCATAGGCACAAAATCACTAAATATGTCACCAAATGTGCTCTTTTCCTCACTTCACCTAAATACATGCATCAGGCTCCATTATCTACAGCTTTCCTGTGTATAAACTAACTGTTCTGTAGCAGATCAGCAGTTCTCAAAGTGTGTGGCCTGGACTGGCAGCATCTGCATCCCCTGGGAATTTGTAGAAATGTAAATTATTGGCCCACCCCAGACTATGGAATCAGAAATTCTGAAGAGTGGAGTCCAGCAGTCTGTGTTTCAGCTAGCCTTTACTGAAGTTTGGGGACCATTAAAATAGAAGATTCTCCCAAGAGGTTACAGAATCCCAAAGGTTACAAATTATACCCGCTTAAGAGGAAGCTAACATTCTTATCACAAAAGTGACAGCGCATAATTAAACAACAAACTCATTAATCTGATTTCCAAATAACATCTCTAATTTTTTCCAACACTACATCCTAGTATACCTAAACATGCTTGATGATCTAGACCAGGGGTCCCTGAACCCCAGGCCATGGACTGATACCGTGGCCTGTTAGGAACCAGGCTGCACAGCAGGAAGTGAGCAGCAGGTGGGCGAGTGAAGCTTCTTTTGCATTTACAGCCAGTGCCCATTGCTCACATTACCACCTGAGCTCCGCCCTGTGTCAGTTCAGCAGAAGCATTAGATTCTCATAGGAGCATGAACCCCATTGTGAACTGCACATACAAGGGATCTAGGTTGCTCCTTATGAGAATCTAGGATCTGATGATCTGTTGCTGTCTCCCATCACTCCCAGATGGGACCATCTAGTTGTAGGAAAACAAGCTCAGGGCTCCCACTGATTCTACATTATGGTGAGTTGTAGAATTATTTCATTATGAATTACAATGTAATAATAATAAAGTGCACAACAAATGTAATGCGCTTGGATCATCCTGAAACCATCCCTACCCCACTGGTCCATGGAAAAACTGTCTTCCATGAAACTGGTCTCTGGTGCCATAAAGGTTGGGGACTGCTGATGTAGACAATTTGGGGTGCCAGCTTTCTTTCTCCAAAGAACCCTGTGCTCTTCCCTGTGGTGCCTTTTGTTTGGGGTACCCTCTTTTTCCTTCCACTCCCTGACGTTGCTGACCCAAGCTCCCTTTTCCTTCATAAAGGAGAACCTTCAGAAGGAGAAGCTGAACCCAGGTAGTGAGTGCAAAGGTGCTTGTGAAATTGAGCACAGTACCAATAACAAATTCAATACATTTACATTGTGTCTTGCTAAGGCATCTTTAATTTGATCAAAGTACCAAAGAGTCTGCCTAAATGGTCAAGTATAAAGACCAATTTTATTTTCTGTGTTAGTAACCGTGCTTGAAGTTTTTCAACGATTTCCATCTCTTCAATCTTTTAATACTGAATACTGAATACAAATATAGAATATTGAAAGTAAATCATTATGATTCATTTAAATTAAATAGAAATTCCAGTGTAAAACTCTCCAAGGAGTCATTTTTCTTATTTATTTATTTATTTATTTATCTAGAGATAGAGTCTCATTCACTCTATTGTCCAGGCTGGCATGCAGTGGCACAATCTTGGCTCACTGCCACCTCTGGCTCCCAGGTGCAAGTGATTCTCTTGCCTCAGCCTCCTGAGTAGCTGGGATTACAAGCAAGCACCACCATGCCGGCTAGTTTTTGTGTTTTTCATAGTTAACCTGTTTCATTGGATTTCCTCATGTCAACAGGTGGCACTATAGCAAGAAGCCATACCCCTTAATCTCAGCAGAACTTTCAGGGGGGTCTATATTTTTACATCTAATATTTCCCATACTAAATTGATTTGGTTTTACATAATTAATTGTGATAATAATGTTTCTGGTAAGGAAGAAGAGTTACAAATTCCCAAAACCACGTGAAGCCTAATTACTTCCTGCCATAAATACTTGACGGAAAATAACTTCTGAATTTAAGTAAAGCTATAAGAAATGCCATTACTTGCTAATCTCCCCTCTGCTACTTTAATGACCACGTAAGACTGTAAAAGCAAAGCTTCAGCACAATCAGATGCCAAGGACTGCTCAAGCAAATCCTACCTCCTGAAACACATTTACCTGGCTGGTCCACAAACAATGAAGCCAAGGGCATGGTTTTCTGATTTTTTATTAAGATAGTTGACCAAGGACTGTTGCCATCGGAGAGAGGTCTTATCCTACAAGAGAAAAATGTTTCTTTTCATAAGATAGAAGCACACAACACACCAATTAGGTTTTGGTGGATACAGACCAACAATATTTTTAAGGTAGTAAAGAGAACACATTTGTACTCAGTTTTGAAGGGCTGACAAAGTACAAATAATACCTGAAAGTGAGACAGGAAAAATCTCAGAAATATTCTAACTGCTTAACTAAATAATAGTTAATTTAGCATGATAAATTCATCCTAGAAAATTGTTGATATTTATAAATCTCTCTATTAATTTACTTGCTTTTTGAAAGTCTGGCTGATGTGATATTAACACAGGAATGGATTTGTCATATTACACAATGAATACCACCAGATACCACACACGTACCTTTCTTTGCAATCTGTTCTATCTTTCATTTGAATGGAATTTGGTCCCCAGGTACAACCTTTTTTCTTAAAATTCCTTTTTACATCCTCAAATTCTTCTTGTCGAAAGACTGTGTTCCTTCCCCAAGTTTTATTGCTTTCATCTGAAGTCACTAAAAAGAACATTATTAACCATATTAACCACAACAATCATATTAACCAATATTGGCTTTGTTAAAAAAGCTAAATGAATCATATCAGTTGTGAAACTACCTTACTCAAAACATGAAAACAATGAGAAAATTATTTATTTCACCCAATCTCTGGTAAGTTTCTTTCTCTGATCATAAAAACATCAAGAAAAATGGAGTAAGTTAACAGAAAAGATACAAATTCGAGGTAAATTAGCAGCAAAGATTTGATTACTTTTTAATCTATTTATTTAGCATTTTGCAACAATTAGGATTTCATTGTAATTGGGAGGGAAATCACCAAACTAAACATGTAACTTAAAATGAACTTAGTACTCTAATTTTTTAACCAAATCAGTTAAAGTTTTGACCTAGAGGCACAAACATCATATATTTTTAAATTGTAATTTCAACTAATTTTTCATAAGTCGTCACAATTTATTTCTTTCTTTATTTTTTGGTCATCACAATTTTGCTCAGTCATGACAACACTTTGGTTACGGTTGCCTTTTAAAACTTGAAAATATTTAACAGTTTTCCATGTCTTGCTTTTTTCACTACCTCACAGGACGATGTATATTCCTCTTTAATATCCACATTTTGCTAAACACTTAGATGCTGTCCCTCTAATTTAAGTGCACTTGAAAGTGATTTGGGGCCAGGCGCCATGGCTCACGCCTGTAATCCCAGCAGTTTGGGAGGCCGAGGCGGGCAAAACACAAGGTCAGGACTTCGAGACCAGCCTGGCCAACATGGTGAAACCCGGTCTCCACTAAAAATACAAAAAAATTAACTGGGCATGGTGGCGGGCGCCTGTAATCCCAGCTACTCAGGAGGCTGAGGCAGGAGAATTGCTTGAACCCAGGTGGCAGAAGTTGCAGTGATCCGAGATCGCGCCACTACACTCCAGCCCAGGTGACAGTGCAAGACTCCGTTTCAACAAAAAAAAGGGATTTGGAAATCACTGGGGAAAATTGCTATTATTACTACACACTTAGGGGAAAAATATCTGAAACATACTAGATGTTCTAAAAACAGTTTGAAATATTATGATATACAATGGAATACTCTGTGACCATAATAAAAATGAGGTACAGATGATACATAATGTTTATATTATATTTAATATTACATATAATAAATACATTTTCATTAAAAATTATGTGTTTATAGATGCCTGTATATACACACATACATACACAGAGGAGAAGTTACTAAACACAGATACCAAACTTACTAAAGTGTTTAAATTTAATAGAGAGGATTGCTATGTAGAGGGAAATTTAACTCCTTTATATCACTTTGTAAAATTGGACACATTGTGGATGATGTTTGGTTACTTACATGTGTTTCAATATTTTCCAAATTTTAAAATACACATATATGTGTGTATATACACGTGTCTGTGCATATAAATGTGCTTAGGCCGGGTGCGATGGCTCACGCCTGTAATCCCAGCACTTCAGGAGGCCAAGGCGGGTGGATCATGAGGTCAGGAGTTCAAGACCAGCCTGGCCAAGGTGGTGAAACTCCGTCTTTACTAAAAATACAAAAATTAGCCGGGCGTGGTGGCGGGCACCTGTAATCCCAGCCACTCGGGAGGCTGAGGCAGGAGAATCACTTGAACCCAGGAGGCGGAGGTTGCAGTGAGCCGAGATGGCACCACTCCAGCCTAGGCAACAGAGTGAGACTCCATTTCAAAAAAAAAAAAATGTAGATGCATGCCTAAATGTAAGTGTGCATGTGTAACAATCTTGAATCAGCTGTTCATTCTTTTTATTAAAAGAGTTTTACAGTAGAATGACAGATAAACGGATCAGCAGTTTTCATTTAAGTGAGGGCAGCAGAACCGGAAAAGCTTTCAGCTGGGGGTTATTAGACCCAAGTTCATCTCGGCTATATGACTGACTGACTGATCTACACTCCCAGAGCTATCTACACTCTCGGCTTTAGTCTCCTCACCTTCGTCCCTTCCTACTTTCCTTCCCCTCTTGATTTGCTCCTCTGGTTTCTCTTTTGTTTCCACATTGATTGAACTTTTCCTGTACTAAGAGGCCGGAAACGGATGGTGAAATCTACACTCAGATGTGTCTGAATCCAGCTTCACCAGTTAGTAGCTACCAACTTGGGTCAGCTTAATGGTAACTTCTCTGTCCCGCATTTGGGGATCATAAAAGGGTCCACTCAATGAGGCTGTCAGAATTGAATGGGGGTGTGCACACACATGAAGACAAGAGGCATTCTTGGAGCACCCAGGGTCACAATGAAGATGAGCAACATCCAGGCTGGAGAACTTGAGCCAACAGCTGCCACACACAAAGCTGGCCCTGTGTGGACTGTCTCGATTAGAACCTTTCCACCATGTTACTTCTGAGAAGGAGCGCCAAGGATGCGCCTCCCTAAGCTGGCTGCATTTCAACTTTGGAGGGTTGGAATTCATTTGAAGTCCCAAATTATTTACTTTAACTGGTACACATCTTGGGCCCAGCCAGGCCTTCCCAGTACCACTTCCTGGCTTCTGTGAGGTGGTTTTCCCCAGAGCAGAAGGTGAAGACACAGGAAAGAGGGCAGAGGAGTGGCCAGGCAAAAGCAGGGGTGGCACGGTGTCCCATCTGCTCATCCCTTCGTGGAGCTGGGAGACCAGCCTGGGACCCTTTCTCTCTCCGTTAATTAGGCCTTTGCCTAGGCAAAGGCAAGGTTTGAGGTACGGTTTTATGCAAAATGCATTCTCAGAAAACCAAATCAGTTATAATAAATGACAGTCCTTTAAGCTCTAAAACTACAGCCTCATTTAGATCCAGTTTCTCTGTGGGGATCCTGGTGTCCGAGAACTTGCAAAAGAAATCTCTGCTGGTGCCAAGGTTTTCATTATCAAAAGAGGAAAAAAAAATGAGATTCCATGCAAGCCTCATTAGACAAAATTTTCTTTTGGATTTTTTTTTTCTCCAAATAAGGATGAGTAAACAGCAGGGAATTAAGTTTGGTGGAGGAAGGAGAGGATCCAAATGAATGGTTTACCACAGACTTAGGCTAATTACCACATTACTTACAGACATACGCATTAATCACATTCTTCTTTCGCTTAGCCTACTTTTAGGGGTTTATCTGGACTCACCTTTGAAAAAAATTAGTAATTTTATTTCATCCGCTACATTCTGATTCATAGCCTAACTGAAACTCTCACAATGCAAAGGTGCCAGGCGAATCAGCTGTCTGTACTGTCTCCTCCAGGATGAATGCTTGTTCTAAAACCAAAACACTACAAGGAATTTTTAAGTATTAGGTTGGTCAAACCTAAAGTGAATTAAAGTTAAATCCTGAAAAGCAAAAATTTTTTCCCCTCACGAAACAAAGAAAGAAACAGAAGTAATCCTGAATTCCTGATTTCATTTTTCAAAGTACCCTGACACAAATGGCTGATGATAGAATTAGGTTATGCTAACGTTGCGTGCAAGTGTTTAACAGAATGTCTCGAGATGTGGTGTTTCACTTTCTACTCCGGGGCCAGGTCGCATCACCAACTGCATAGCATCTAAAATTCATTTTTTGTGAGTAGAAGAAAATTAGACTAAGGAACCTATGCTCAAGTTTTGTTTCTCAAATAGTTGTGGCACCTACGAAATGTCCTACACTCATCTACAACCTGCTATGAAAACACATCTGCTCAATTTGAATCCAAGTCAAGTGAAAGGAGAGAAGTCAACACAGGAGCCCCCGTGGCAGTGCAGAAAGCTCACACTGTATGGCTCGGAGTCGGGGCATCATTGTGGGGCTGCTCGGGGGACTGGAACTGCTGCTGTTCAGGCTCCGCCGTTTGTCCAAGTTGGGAGAGGCCTGCACGGTTATCTTGTGCTGGAAATCTGTTGGAGGCAAAAAGGGAGAACTGGTATTTCATGGTTTTCCTTTATCTTCATAGCCATGTATTTAGCACACAGCAATAAAAACAAAAATGGTCAGACCCTAACTGCAAAGAATATTGCAGGATCGATTTCTTATTTTGGTTTCTTACTTCTCGGGGTTCAGGTCAATAAATAATGATTCTGAGCTTATATGTTGGATATAGTCACACAAATAATGAATCAGAGCTTATATGTTGGATATAGTCACACACATACACACACACACACACACACACACACACACACACAAAGGAAAATATGAAAGCCACGAATCATTGAAGAATTTATAACCTGGGAAAAAAGAGTTATCTGCATTCAGTCTGAGATAGTTAAAATTAAGTCTGAACACGGTGGCTCATGCCTGAAATCCCAATACTTTGGGAGGCTGAGGTGGGCAGATCACTTGAGGCTAGAAGTTCGAGACCAGCCTGGCCAACATGGCAAAACCCCATCTCTACTAAAAACACAAAAATTAGCCGGCATGGTGGCACACATCTGTAATCCCAGCTACTCGGAAGGCTGAGACAGGAGAATCACTTGAACCTGGGAGGTGGAGGGTACAGTGAGCTGAGATTGTGCCACTGCACTCCAGCCTGGGCAACAGAGTGAGACTCTGTCTCAAATAAATACACAAATAAATAAATAAAATTAAATTGAAATGGCCCTGGATTTAAATGAGTCCTGGTTCTCATAACATAACACGCTATGGACCTCAAACCAGTAAGGAACTGCTCTGAGCCTGTTTCTTCACCTGCTAAAGTGAACAACAATATTTCACATGGTGGTCGTGGTGTTGAATAAAACAGAAAATGTAAATTAAAAGCATTTTGTGCTCTAGGCATTCTACAAATGCTGGCTCTTATTATCTAACTGTAATATGGTAGAGATATACCAAGATCTATAGGTTCATATGGAAGAGAAAGCAATATTACCAGAGGAAAGAGGGGTGTGTCTGGGGAAACTTTATAAACTATCAGGAAAATCATTAACAACTTGGAAGGAGGTAAAAGACATTACTGGATATTCTTTCAGTGCAGAGCTGAGCTTAAGCTTTGATTGATTGCTTTTCTATGGACTGAGTTATTTTTATAACTAGGTAAGAGCAGAGGTTAACTTGTAGATTTTGTCTGGTGATGATGCAAATAACTTCCGTCTGGAGAAAAAGACAATCCCAAATGGTTCATTGCCATATTAGACATCAACCAGGTCTGCGTTTAACCCAGCAATCTAATCCTGCATTCCTCTATTAATTTGCCCATAAATATCTCACTCCTCAAATTCTCATTTGAACTGGTTCTACCTGATTCCTCAACGATTAATGAGTTTAATAAAAATCTTTGACATATGTTCATTTCATATTTGCAAGAGACCTATAACTTACCTTTTTGGAAGTTATACTTTAAAGAACTTTAATGAATGAACTGCTATTTGAGATGAAGAGGATTTGGAAGTTGGTAGGCAAGGACAGCTATCCAATTATTCATACTAGAAATCTGAATACTTTTCTTGATATTGTCTTTTCTGTTACCCTACATATCCACCAAGCACAAAATATCAGGTAAATTCTGTGCTATATATTTTTCTGCAGTAGAGAAATTTATATTCCAGGTTATGGAGTTAGCAAACTTAGATCTGAATCCCATTTCTACCACAGCCATATGAATTTCAAGAAAGTAACTTAAGGTCTTGAAGTCTCAGTATCTTTACTGACAAAAATGGAAAAGAACTAATTATTCCTATTTCACAGGACTGCTATGAAAAATTCAGTGCAAAGAAGTATAAAAAGTACTTACCACAGGGGTTGGGACATAATAAATGCTCAATAAATGTTTTTTTCCTTTTGTTCTCTCCATCTGCACGGCCAATCACCATGTCATCCCTAGCCTGCTACAATGCCTTGTGTCCATCTTCCTGCATCCACATTTGGCCCCCCAAGTCCACTTCACAGCAGCCAGATGCATTTTTAATATGCCTGACTGACATGTCATTCCCCTGCTTAAAATCCTTCAAAGGCCTCTCATGATTCTTAAGTTACAGATTAAAACTGTAACACATTCTGGAAGTCCCTGCAAACCTGAGCCTGAGTTCTTCTTTCTGCTCCAGCCTCATCTTGCCCTATTCTCCTCTCACTCGTCACAGCCTGGAAGAGGGGTCAGCTCACTTCTTCTGCAAAATGCCCCATTTTAGGCTCTGTGAGCCACACAGTCTCTGTAACAACTGCCTGACTCTGCTGATGTGAGAGAAAGCAGCCACAGTCAACACAAAGATGAATGTGTCCCAGTAAAATGATCTTTATGGATATTGAAATTTCATATCAGTTTCATATCATGTCAGGTGCAATGAAGTATTCTTCTTCCTCTTTGATTTTTTTCAAGCATTTAAAAGTGTAAAAACCATTCTGAGCTCATGGCTGTACAAAGCGGGTAGAGGCGGGATTGGGCCCATAGGGCAGTGTGCTGAACCCTGTTCAAACCACACTGAACTTTTTTCAATTCCTGGAAGAAACCAAGTTTCCTCCACATGTGCTCTCAGCCTATTCTCTTTCTTCATCTTCTGTATTTGGTAAATTCCCATATCACGTCTCAATTTAAATGTTACTTCTTTTTTTGGAGATGGAGTCTTGCTCTGTCACCCAGGCTGGAATGCAATGGTGCGATCTCAGTGCACTGCAACCTCCACCTCCCGGGTTCAAGCAATCCTCCTGCCTCACCCTCCTGAGTAGCTGAGATTACAGGCGCACACCACCACACCTGGCTAATTTTTTTTTTTTTTTTTTTTGTATTTTACTAGAGACGGGGTTTCACCGTGTTGCCCAGGCTGGTTTCGAACTCCGTTAGGAAGCCTTCTATGATCACCTTAGACCAGGTTACATCTCTGCACTAGTCACTGTCATGTGACTTTTCCCTCACAGCAGCTAATGATTATAGAAGCAAATAAGTATTGAATTATTAGCTTAAGTTCTGCCCCCTCCCTCAATATAAGGTAAGTGCTCTATGGGCAGTGACCATGACAGTCTCCATGACTTCAGACTGGCACAGTGCCTTGCACATTACAGGTACTTAGAAAACTTTGCTGAATGAGTACTTTCTCTGTGGGAAACATGAGTGCAGAGACTGCATATATGTTTTATAATCACCCCTAGTACTGGGGACACAGCAGATCCTCAGGTGTTTGTTGACGGAGAAAGTTATGCAGGGTTCATCTACAGGATCAGGCTGGTGCTTGAAGTGAGTTGCTGAGGAATACACAGCAGGCTGGAGGAGATTTGGAAGACAAACCAAACGGAAAGGAAAGACCAAATGGGAGGCTCCTCCATCTGCTGAGTCATACTTTTTTTTTTTTAAAGACAAGATTTTACTCTGTTATCCAGGCTGGAGTGCAGTGGTGCAATCTCAGTCCACTGCAGCCTTGACCTCCCCTGGCTCAAGCAATTTTCCTGTCTCAGCCTTCTGAGTAGCTGGTACTACAGGCATGCACCACTATGCCCAGCTAATTTTTGTATATTTTTGTAGAAATGGGGTTTCACCATGTTGCCCAGGCTGGTCTTGAACTCCTGGGCTCAAGCAATCCACCTGCCTTGGCCTCTGAAAGTGCTTGGGATGACAGGCGTGAGTCACTGCACCTAGCCCCAAGTCATTCCTTTTGAAAGACTTGACCAGGGCAGAGCAGTTGAGGTAAAAAATTGACTAGACTAGGTGGTGGTAGTTGGGGGAAAGAGGTGGTCAAAGAAAAAAAATTCTTAACCATAGAAAGGAAACAGTTTAGACTAAAGTCATTTATAAATGTTCAGCTAGCCACCTGATTGTTACAACACGACAGAAACAAATGCTCTGAGAACTTTTACAGCAAGAGGAGCCCTCCTGTCAATAACAGAAGAAAGCCAAGAACCAAGCCACAGGATCTGATTGACAAGTTATTTGGAACAAATGATGGGACAATAAATACTAAGCACAGATCAGGAAACCAACATGGAACACGTGGAAAGCCACGGGTGAGAGCAGCAAAGATACAAGGCTGCATTTTAACAACACCTAAGATTCAGAGTGCTTCCAACCTTCCAAAAACACCTAAATACTTCCACTTGAAAAGCATACTTTATGTTGTAAACAGAAAGAAAACATTCTTTTTTTTTTTTTTTTGAGACGGAGTCTTGCTCCTGTCACCCAGGCTGGAGTGCAGTGGCGAGATCTCAGCTCACTGCAACCTTGCCTCTTGAGTTCAAACAGTTCTCCTGCTTCAGCCTCCTGAGTAGCTGGGATTACAGGTGCCTGCCACCACGCCCATCTAATATTTGTACTTTTAATAGAGATGGGGTTTCTCCATGTTGGCCAGGCTGGTCTCGAATTCCTGACCTCAGGTGATCTGCCTGCCTTGGCCTCTCAAAGTGCTGGGATTACAGGCATGAGCCACCACGCCCAGCCAACATTCTTTATCGTAAACATCCTTGTCCCTTTGAAGTAGGGAAAGGTTGAGTCTGTGCCAGCTAAACATTTGGGAAAACTAAAGCTGAATTGTTAAAATGCCTGTGGCCTGTGCTCAGATTTTCTTTGTACTCACTAGAATAATGGTTCTCAAGATGCCTGGTCATAGCAGCTATAGTTCAATCACAGGCTTGAGTAAAACCTATCCTAGTATTTTTGCTGGCAATATGAATATTTCACTAACAAAGCTAATTGCCTCAGTGGGAGGCTTCCATTTGCAGATGAAAAGGAATGTATTCTCTAAAGAATCCAGGTGAGGTTATATGCTCTCTCCCATCCACCCTTCTACTCACTCGCATACCTGTGAGGTAGATGGTTTTTGCAGGCTTTGGACACTTCTGAAGCAATCAAAGTTAGAATGCCACTGCTTTAGTGACATACCAACTTTTGGAGGCTTTAAAGCTTTTGTCTTGTATTAACGTGTCCAAAAAACACAACTTCAGTTAAAAGTAAACATAAACAGAAGGAGCAATCAATATAGAGTACTCACAAAATAAAAAGATGCACTGTGACCATGCTTTTTTCTCTTGCAAATTCCAAGAAAAATACTACATAATCACAAAGTATTGTTTTAAAATTATTATCCTAGATTATTACTGTCTTACTTTTTAAGCATTAATCTTCCTTATTTGGTAGCCAGCCATGAAGAAATTCCAGGAGGAAAAAAAAATCACTTTTGAGGTTTCTATCACTAAATCACCATAGCTATAAATACCCATAAGATTAAAAACGATCAGCAGTAATTCTCGAGGACAAAGTTACAAGAGAATGTAATGATTCATATTTAATACCAAGTTTTTGAAAGATCTGCAGGCACAAATATTAAAGGTCAGCTTGGAGGACTCTAGAATATGTTTCGGAGAAATTCTCTAAGCTTATTATGCATAGGGAAAAATCCTGCAAAAGGAGTTCAAGAAGTTGGTAACTCCATGAAAGGACAGCATCGCTGTTCCATCTACCACTTATCACGTTTCTCCCTGAACAGTGTGCCATTTAACAGTATTAGAATTTGTTTCTCTTCGTCTTTTTGTTGACCCATAAAAATTATACATATTTATGGGGTACAGAGTGATATTTTGGTACTTGTTTACAATATATAATGATCAAGTCAGAGTAATTAGCATATGTATTACTTTGGGTATTGATCATTTCTTTGTGTTGTGAACATTCAATATCCTCTCTTCTGGCTTTTTGAAAATATACAATAAATTACAGTTAACCATATTCACCCTATAGTATTGCAGAATACCAGAACTCATTCCTCCTACCTAGCTGTACTTTGGTATCCATTAACTAACCTCTCTGCAACCTCCCCTCCCCTCAAGCCCTTCCCACCCCAATAACCACAATTCTACTCTCTATTTCCACGGACTCCAATTTTTTTCGCTCCCACATATATGTGAGAACATGCAGTATTTATTTTCTTGTGCCTGACTTACTTCACTTAACATAATGTCATCCAGGCTCATCCACGTTGCCACAAAAGATAGAATTTTATTCTTTTTTATGGCTGAATAGTGTTCCATCAGGTAAACACACCACATTGTCTTAATTCATTCATCCATTGATGGACACTTAGATTGATTCCTTATCTTTGTCATTGTGAATAGTGTTGCCATAAACATGGGATTGCAGACATCCCTTTGATATACAGATTTTCTTTCCTTTGAGTAAACACCTGGTAGTGGAATTCCTGGATCATACAGCAGTTCTATTTTTAGTTTTTTTTTTGAGAGACCTCCATACTGTTTTCCACAATGGCTGTACTAACTTACACTTCCATTAGCTATAGATAGCCATAAGATTTAAAATGATCAGCAATAATTCTCAAAGACAAAATTACAAGAGAATGTGTGTAAGAGTTCCCTTTTCTCCACATCCTCACCAACATTTACTATTTTTCGTCTCTTTGATAACAGCCATTCTAACTAAGGTGAGCTAGCTCACTGTGATTTTCATTAGCATTTCCCTGAGGATTAGCGATGCTAAGCATTTTTTCATATGCTTGCTGGCCATTTTTATGTCTTCTTTTGAGAAATGTCTATTCAGTTCCTTTGTCCAATTTTAAATCAAATTATTTGTGTTTTTGCCATTGAGTTATTCGAGTTCTGTGTATATTCTGTGCTAGTCCCTTGTCAGATGAATAGTTGACTAATATCTTCTCCCATTCTACAGGTGGTCTCTTCACTCTGTTGATTGTTTCCTTTGCTGTGCAGAAGCTTTTCGGTTCAATATAGTCCCAATTGTCTATTTTTGTTTTTTGTTGCCTGAGCTTTTGAAGTCTTAAGTCATAAAATTTTTGCCTAGGCCCATGTCCTGAATTGTTTCCCCTATTAAACAATACTAACTTAAAGAATTTTCTAGCAGATAATATTGAATGCAACTAACTCCCTGGATTTTAAGTTACACATGCTTGCTTTCTCTTCTATACTAAGCGGAATTCTCCAAGAAAAAAATAATTATTTTTATAGTTATCATTTCCCTTTTTGGATGTCTGTCCCATTCTAGGATATTGTACAAGTAAATATGCGTGCATGTGTGTGAGTTTAGGGTTGGAGCATTCTAATAGAAATTTCCATATTGGTACCAGTATTATTAATATTAAGATGATAATGTAGTGCCATCTTGTGGGCAGAAGAGGTAACTGTCATGCTAAAAATTCCAGAAACCAAATTTCATTCCTTGGTGATGGGTCAGGATTATAGCAGTAGATTTCTTGGTTATGTTTTAACTGGAATCTTTCATTAAGTGCCAAAAAGTAAATAAATGTGTAACTAAAATTTCTCCTCTCTTCTCAGGAAAAGAAAAGCTGTATAATACAATACAGGAATTAAAAAAACAACTCAGGTAAAAATAGTCAAATAATATTCAGTCTGCTTTGAATAAACTCAGGGTATTAGCCAAGGAACATTTGAGAAGAAAAGCAAGACTGAAAATCTGACCTCAGGAATGCTAAGATTTTGATTTAATCATTTTACCACTGAAGAGGAAAGAATCATTGGAACGATTTTCATTTTTTATCCCAAATTTACTTCCCTTTCCATCAGCTTCTTAATCCTTTCCACCTTCCCCAAAGTTTCCCAAGGGAAACAATAAATATTAATTTGGATAACACAATCAAATCACAGCTAGAAGAAAACTGACATAACTGAAAAATGGAGAAGAAAACTCACATCTAGTGCACCTCTGGATTTTTCTTTCCTCTATGTGTGAAGGCAGAAGCCTCATCATAAATAAATAGTCTATTCTCTATGGCTGACTGACACGTAAGACAGACCAGTCAGTGACCCTGCAAGCAACACTCCAGCTAAGGAAAACATCAGAAGAGAGCCTGGAAAAGGACCTTCCCCCAACACCCAACCCCAGAGAGGTTGAAGGTAAAAGTGATAAGGATCCACAGTCTATTCTCACCCCATCAAACCAAATAATCAATAACATATACTGGACTCTCATGATGACCACCTCATACTAGCACTTTTCTTTCTTTTTTTCTCTTTTTTTTTTGAGACAGAGTCTCATTCTGTTGCCCAGGCTGGAGTGCAATGGCACAATTTCGGCTCACTGCAACTTCCAGCTCCCGGGTTCAAGAGATTCCCCCGCCTCAGCCTCCCAAGTAGCTGGGATTACAGGCACCCGCCCCCGTGCCCAGCTAATTTTTTTTTTTTTGTATTTTAGTAGAGACAAGGTTTCATCATGTTGCCCAGTCTGGTCTCAAACTCCAGATCTCAGGCAACCCGTCCACTTCAGCCTCCCAAAGTGCTAGGATTACAGGCGTGAGCCACCATGCCCAGCCTTCTTTCTTTCTTTTTTTTTTTGAGACAGAGTTTCGCTCTTGTCACCCAGGCTGGAGTGCAATGGTGTGATCTCGGGTCACTGCAACCTCCACCTCCCAGGTTCAAGTGATTCTCCCGCCTCAGCCTCCCGAGTAGCTGGGATTACAGGCACCTGCCACCATGCCCGGCTACTTTTTGTATTTTTCATAGAGACGGAGGGGGTTTCACCATGTTGGCCAGGGTAGTCTTGAACTCCTGACCTCAGGTGATCCACCCACCTCAGCTAACCAAAGTGCCGCGATTACAGGCATGAGCCACTGCACCCAGATGTCATACTAGCAATTTTTTGATCAACTGAGGACATCTGCAATAACCTAAATTAGTCACAGGATTCTGCAAGCTTTCCAGTGTTTCATAATACATATTTTATAAGGCAATTTATACACACTCGACATAAAACAAAACTGTCACTGTTGCACTTTAAATCAAATTACCATGCCATTAACAAACATCTTAGGAAAACACTAGAATCCGTCCGAGCACTCTAATATATAATACATATAACACATAGGCAGGTATAGACATAGACATAGAGATATTTCATACAGATTCTATAAAAGTGAAGTCTGCATTGCTCTGTCATCATCCTGCTCTGGTACTAGAAAGAATCACAAAATACCATGGAGGTATTTGTTTTTTCCTTACAACAAGTAGAATATATAATATTAAAGAACTTAATTTAGTGAATCAAGCTATGTCTGCTATATTGATCGATATATTTTGATTATCAGTCAATAATATCTATATGTATTGATTGATTGATATATTTTCTATTCCCTTTAGTTTCTCCTAACACATTACTAAAATGATTTAGTAATCCTTGTATGTTGTTATCACAATGTTTAAAAAAGCTTCCCTAGATTTACTGGGTGATTTTTGTGTCTGAAGGATTTTAAACCTTCATGGGAAAGTACCTCAGGGTACTTGATATATTTTATTGAAAGTGCTGACAACAATATCAGTGTCCCAGATACCAGATGACATCCTAGATCCTTGTGGAAGCAATGAACGTAATGATGAAATATTAACAGTTTCGTTGTTTTGCATCTTCACAATGCCACATGACATTGGCTCAGTACGCTCAGCTAAAAAATGGTTCTGCTTCAATTTCAAAAGGAGTCAATCAGTTAATCCATCAATATGAAAGTACGCTGAGGGTTAGATCCTCGTGTGCTGTGACTACCACGTGCTCCTAATGCTGTTTCCTACATGGAATCTCATTAGGCCATTACATTAGAACCATGAATCTAAGCCTACAGCTGAAGATACTCATTCATTCACTGTTTTACAAAGTTACTTCCCTATCTCTTTCCTGGTTCTGATGAACAAAGAAAACTGATTAAAAGGAGGACACACAAAAATCTTTCAAAAACATAAAAACAAGATCATACCTGAAGGTAAACTGATTCGATGTCCATCTTTGAGCTTTAAACGACTTCTCTTAAACTTGCCCTTCCTCTTCTTTACCTTGGGCTTCTCCTGGTTTAGCTGGAATATCAGAATGTTAAGTTCCCGCTCCAGCACGTCGATCTCGCGCTCTGCCAGCTGCTGCTCACGCCGCTTTAGCAGCTCCTCCTGAGACTTCTGCTGCAGAGCCGCCCGAGTCAGCTCCTCTTCCCGGGATCGCAGCTCCTGCGACACAGATTCACACCCACCGGAATCATTCCCAGCAGGAAGAAGGGAATTCCGTCTATTACACTACACTGGCGACCCCTCGGCCACGGGCTCCTCCTGTGCACAAGGAGAAGCTGAAATTCCCTCTTCCTCTGCTCAAGCCCTGGTCACTCAGGTCCTCATGGGACGAAGGTCTTTGCAGTCAGGACAATCCAAGCCGAAACCTTTTCAGCGGATTATTCACTTAGATGACAGCCCAGGCCTCTGCACAAACGCCAGTCTCCTCTGTTAGTTTTATGATCCTAAAAGAGGCATCATAAATTTTCTACACTTGGTTTTTCACATTTCTCCCTCTTCATCTCTCACCTGACACATAAAATATGCATTAACACAGGGCAACAAAGTGCAGATGTGAATGACCCATTTCAAAATAAAGCCAAAAGTTCAAGCTCAATTAATTAAAGCATAATTATTTTAGTTACACAAGACTGCAGTTCAGACGACTTAGAATTTCTTTAGGGTATTTACAACTTTGCTTAAGGAATAAAACATCTTGGTGGAGAGAGTAAGGGAGAAAATCAAGCTAAGGTGTTAGGAGTCTGTTGAAGACCTGCTGGAAATGAAAATGAAGCCACCTCTAAAATTGCAAGCCAAAGGAAAATATATTCTGTATACAAAGAACTTTTCAGATCCCGCTGATACATGGAAATTATCACTTCATTACACATCTCAGGAGTTAGCTAACAAAAGTTCCTCTCTTATGATACTGATTAAAGTTAGACCTCATCTTGGTTTTGGTTTTTGAAGTACTGAACTTCTAAGAAAGAGAAAATCTAAGAATTAAAAATACTTTTATTCCTATTAGGAAAAATTATTAAACAGTAAAACTGAGGACTCTACAAAGTTTTAAAATTATATCCCCATTTTTATTTCATTTCCATAAAGTGTTCTGTTCTTTACCAGAGACATAAATATTCTTTGCAGTGCTGAACCAGTTTCTATTCTAAATTACTCTGCTAAGAAATCAAGCACTCACATAAAAATCAACGCATCTGCAAGCTTTTATTTACACTGTTCCAGATAAACTTAATCTTAGAATACCCTAATACCACAATCTTTGTTGGAAACTGCAGATGCCTTCTCAGGTGGAGTGTTGGGCTCTGAGCTTTGAGAGCTATGAGTACTGTGCAAACATTTCCTACTTTATATAAACAGGCCACACTTTAAATAGGCCCACCTCAACGATTCTGATCCATGAAAAAACACAGTAAGATTAGGGCTCCTGGAAGAAACTAGACCCAAACCAAGGGACTAGAATGCAATTCAAATCTACTAATACTTGGACTTTTTACAGACGGACTCAAAGAGTAATCTGAGCCTATCAGTACAATTATCGTAAAGAAAATAAACAGGAAGACCATCCTCCCACAAATAAATGGGACAATATCACGAAGAGACTAGGGAGAGCTAATAATAAAGAAATGTATTTATTCAGGTCAAACTGATTACGAATTTGGGGTGATTCTAACCAAAGTGGACTGAAATTCAGTTTTGAAACTTTCTTTAAATTTATTTCTTGAAACAAATTTCACAAGAAAAACTGCAGGAGAAATGATTTATTTTAGACCAAATGATGTTTAAATCACTTCAGCTAATATGCCTATCAGTTGGTTTTTATTTATAGACCAGGTGGGTGTTTCTTCATTACACCGTGTCAGATATAAATTATTATTTACTACTTGAAAAAAAGGGGAAAATGTTACATGTTAAAAAATCTGTAATCCATTTTTTAACTAGTGACTTTTGTTCAACTAGTTTGTCCAAATTGGACATTTTACTATAGTGTATTTGGAGGCAGAGGATAATTTCCAGTCACCTTTCAATTTCTAACTCATTAAAACTTTTTGTTAAGATATTACTTTTCAGTGATGTTGATATCAATCCAATTAGCTATTGTTAAATGAGATGGCATGAGAAAGCGATCAGAACAGCAAATCCAAGTAGGTTGTGTGTTGCTACGATAGTAATTGAATAAAAAAACATTTTTAATTCCAGGTCCCAAGCTAAATCATGAATCCCTGTGAACAAATTTGTGAATAATAAACAAAAAATCACTTGCCTAAGACTTCAGAAAAGAAAAAAATAAGATTGAAGAGAAAGCAGCAAAAGTAATCTTCCTTCTGAATAAATTTGAACACATTCAAAAGTAAATTTTAAAACTGGGGTATTAGAACCCTTTGAATACTTCAAAAGTATGAAGCACAAAAACATTCTTTCGGTTGATGAGATTACTAGCAGTAATATTTGTTGAATTGCTTGGCACAGGCCACTCTGGTAATGGCAAATCCAGATCCCTGGCAGTGGCTGTTAATCATTAACGGTGGCATGCCTCTGTGTGGGGGGTCACAGACAGGTGCATGCACAAAATGCACAAATACAGACACACAGAGATAAGGAGCCAGGAGTTTAGGGAGGACCCAGTATCTACGGAGGCTACGGCTTACTGAATAACACAGACCACAGCCAAGTTACTCACCATTAATTCCAAGTCTGATGCCTCCTACCTTAAGCAATCTGTGGACAAGAAAGGGAGATAGGGCACGTACACTATGCTTTTTACTTCATCAAAAAAGATGCAGCTGGAAACTTCGAAGCCAAAAAAAAGCATTATATATTCTTTAATTGTAAATCCAAAGGCTTACAGGGTAACATAAATGCTGTATTTCAAGGAACAATGCACAAAAATAAAACACAAAGTAAAAATAGACACTACTACATGGTAGCTCAAAAATCAACCAAAAAATAAATTACTACAAATCGCAAAGTAGAGAAAGAGCTGACATCCACCCTTGAAGCATGCTTTTATTTTAATACAACATATAATTATGAACTCACTAGAGATGCCTATATCTTCCAGTTTTATAAATAGTTGTCAATAATTAAAATACGTTAAAATAAGGCCGGGCCTGGTGGCTCATGCCTGTAATCCCAGCATTTTGGGAGGCCAGTGTGGGAGGATCACCTGAGATCTGGAGTTTGAGACCAGCCTGGCCAACATGGTGAAACCCCGTCTCTACTAAAAATACAAAAAAAATTAGCCGGGTGTGGTGGTGGGCGCCTGTAATCCCAGCTACTCGGGAGGCTGAGGCAGGAGAATCACTTGAACTCGGGAGGTGGAGGTTGCAGTGAGCCGAGACCACACCACTGCACTGCAACCTGGGTAACAGAGTGAGACTCTGTCTCCAGATAATAACAATAATAATAATTTTTTTTTTTGAGACAGGGTCTTGCTCTGTCGCCCAGGCTGGAGTGCAGCAGTTTAGTCATAGCTCACTGCAGCCTCAACTTACCAGGCTCAAGCAATCCTCTCACCTCGGCCCCCAACAAAGTGCTGGGACTACAGCTGCAAGCCATCACACCCAGCCAGTAACTAATTGTGAGTAACATCATTTCCAAATTTTAGATTCTATGATTTGAAGCTTTATTTCTTTCTCAAACGCTTTTCCTGCTCTTCAAAATCTTTTTCATTTTTGTAATTAAACACCTAATTTTAGAATTCCTGAAAACAATTTGGGGAAGTGTTAAAAAAAAAAAAAACAAATTAGAGTCTTTCCTGTATCATTTTAAGTCAACAAAGTGCATAAAAGTTTCCAAGAAACATGTCAATGATATCACTGGTAGTAATGCTTCACAGAACTGCAGGATGTCAAACCTATTCCAGTCAGTGGTGCTCCAGCCAGTTTTCCAAGAAAGCCTGGGCTAGGGAAACTCAGCTTCTGTGAAAGGTCACCACTTTCTTTTTTTTTCCTGAGACTAACACTTAATTTAGCACATACTAAGAGGTAGGGCTCTGGCTGCTTTGCATACAGGACTCACTTAAGCCCCGCCCAAGCCCTGAGGGACACAGGGTTACAGTGATGGCTCCAATGATGAGGAGGTACAGAGTAACAGAGTCAGAGGCCTCAAAACCATCAGGCACACCTAGAACTTAAAGTATAAAAAAAAAAAAAACCCATCAGGCACAAGAGCCCGAATGCCAACAGGGCTGTCTGACTCAGAGTTCCTGGTGGGGGGTGAGGGAGGTCTATCATATTTTTCAGAATCCCATAAAGACTTCCCATTCAGTCTTGTCCTGGAGAAGGAAACAGGCAGTCACCCAAGCAGTCTATTTCTCTGTCAGCCAGCTCCAAGTGCTAGCAAGTCGTTGACTTGGAGACCAGATTGCCATCCCTGCAGCATTCACCCAGAAGTCCTACTGCGTAACTCTGGAATAACAAGCAACTGGTTTCTTCTCTCCCTACTTGAAAGTCCTCCCCATGCATGGGCAGCCCCAGCAGTCCCCACCCCCTTGTGTGCTGTGTGTTCTTCCTGTTCTTGGACTCCCAGGCTCCCCCATCCTCTCCCATGCATGCCAGGAGGCTCCTTAGGACATGATGCTCGCAGTCAGACGCAACTCCATGGGTTTGAGCAGAACAGGGCAGGTGGGATTGGTGCCTCTCCTTGATGAACTCTAAGTACTCATTAGTGGTGTCATGGTCTTACGTTGCATTTACCTGTTGTGCATTTTTCAATGTAACCAAATACTGAAAAATCTAAGGGACAGAGTGAATTACCTGTATGTCTACTTTATTTTTTTATTTTTATTTTTATTTTTTCTTTTTTTTTTAATTATACTTTAAGTTCTAGGGTACATGTGCACAACGTGCAGGTTTCTTACATATGTATACATGCGCCCTGTTGGTGTGCTGCACCCATTAACTCATCATTTACATTAGGTATATCTCCTAATGCTATCCCTCCCTCCTCTCCTGACTCCATGACACACCCTGGTGTGTAATGTTCCCCTTCCTGTGTCCAAGCGTTCTCATTGTTCAATTCCCACCTATGAGTGAGAACATGCAGTGTTTGGTTTTTTGTCCTTGCAATAGTTTGCTGAGAATGATGGTTATGTCTACTTTAAAAAATGTCTTTAGAAGAAGTTGATTAGAAGAAGGCTGGTCTCAAACTCCTGACCTCAGGTGATCCACCTGCCCCGACCTCCCAAAGCACTGGGATTACAGGCGTGAGCCACCACACCCGGACATTAGTCTTTCTTAAATGTTACGTATAGCTCACATTTGTTTCAATGTTTAATATTAGAAGGGCTTTGGTCTTTATTTCAAAGTTTGGAGATGTGTTTGCAACCAGAAATATGTCGTGGGAACTTAACTGTTTCTATCAATCAGCCTATAGTAAAATTGGTTTCATTATACATCATTTCATTTATAGTCAGTTTCCAAGAGCCTATCCACAACATTGAGTGAGGACTTACTGAACTATACATTTTTGCATTGCGTAAGAATACAATAGGTTAGGCATCTGTTCCCCTGTTAATGGATATTCAGGTTGTTTTAAGCTTTGCACTATTACAAATGATGCCTAAGTGAACAACTTTAAGCACGTTTCCTTGGGCACATGTGTGAGTTTCTGAAGAATCTGTAAGCGGAAGTGGAACAGCTGAGTCATATGCCTCTATTACAGCGTAAGATTCATAACAGGAATCATAATATGTATATACTATAAAATTCATTGTTCACTTTCAATAATAATAATAATAATAATTGCTCATTAAAACAGTAATAATAATGATAATGGCCACTATCTCAATTATTAAAATAGACATCAGGCATATATTAACAAACTGTACTTAGGTTCATTAATGCCTGCCATGTGCTGAGTCCCATGTTCAATGCTGTGTATGCAAATGAAGAAGAATGTAAAAGCATAGTTCATGAACTTATTATCTAGCAGAAAGGACAGATCAAGAACAATTACGTCAGCAAGTATTAATACAGTATGACTTATGCCATGATAAGAGAAGCACAAGACACTCTGATCACCCACAGTTTACCCGATGGAGTAGAGTAGGGGAGGGAGCTATCAGGGACTGAGAACGGAGGGGCCACCATTCATGAAATGGGCACAGAAGCTAGGGAGGAAACAGGATCCTCAGCAGAGGAAAGAACGTGTGCCAAGGTTACAGGTCAGGAGCATGACATCATGGGGACTGGAAGAAATTCAGTATGGCTGGGGACAGGGGCGGTGGAGATGTAAGGCAAAATATGTGAGGAGAAAGGGAGTGAACATGGCAAAAAAGTGGGCAATGGAAACAAGGCTGATCAGATTTGCATTTTAGAAGGAGAAGGGGACAGATGAGGGAAGAAAGGCTGCACAGAGAGTGCCCAGTAAGGATGGTCCAGCAGCCATGCTGGTGATGAGTGAGGTTGGCAGGGATTAGGGCAGAAAATTGCCACTGATGGTCTTTGTCACACAGAAGACCACAGGAACACTGCAAAAAGACCCTTGAGACTGGGTACCTGGGAGAACAGTGATCCCATTACCACAAATAAGGGAAAGAAGGAGGGAAGGCACAGCGGGAGTCGGGGGAGCTTCTGCTTCAATGTCTGGCTTCAAGAGATTATATGCAGCCCCTTTTAAAAACTTGTCAACAAGGTCCAAATCACTAGCCTGGCATTCAAAGAATCATTCAAGGGTACAAACACCACATCCATCTCTGAGTTCTAGGACTCTGGCACTGTCCCAGCATGTAGTAAGAAAAATGGCATAACACTGAAACTCAAAACAATCTCCAACAGACACGTTCTTAAATCGCATTTTTAAGAAAACATTCTGTATTTCAGGGAATGCCTATGACATACTTTGTATTAATTTCTATGCCAGCATGCCAAGAGATAATGGGGAAGGGAGACAAATAAAATGATAAAATAATGACAATAAATGAAGCTGATTAATGCATACAAAGTGTCCATTATGCTATTTGCTCTCTCTCTCTTTTTTACTTTGAAAATTCCTCTAATAAAAGGGTATTTTCCCCAATTATACATATTGAGTACCCTTCTGTTTTATTTTTGTTTTATTTTTAACCTGAAAGAAGGTGAGAATCAACAAATATTGATATCTAAAGATATTTTTGAATAATGCTAACAGTGCTTCTTGCCTCATATTTTCCATAGTTTTCATAAATTTGAGTACATTATGCTGTTTAAAAATTTCTCTCACCTTTTCCTTTGTTCTCAACTCATCAAACATTTGTTGAATTTCTAGTTTCCAGTCATCTTGCATGGAATGAAAAGATTCTTGAGGCATCTCAGTCATCACTGCCCCTTCAATAGCAGTCAACTGTTCGAGAATTAAGGCAAACGATGGACGAATATGAGGGTCTTGTTGCCAGCATTCTAAAATAAACAAAAATCACATTAATACCATCTCTCAACGCAGTTTAGAGTTGCTAAGAAATGTTTTACACTGAAGTGTATTTCAACTTAACATTTGTCATTCCAAACTGGAAGCTTCCATTTATAGTATCTGCTCCTGAAGATTTTAAGAATCCATTGGTAATAGTTTGAATAGTTTATTTTACATAGTGTCCATGTCACAGGCATGCATAATAATGACCATTAGAGAAGGCTGTTGCTGTCTATATTATACCGCATTTAATAAATGGACGTGTGCTTCCCATGCTTTACTATGGATACCATGTTTCAGGGGGTTAAGCCACCATAACCAGATCATTTACTGATATGGAGTCATGTAACTCAAACAAAGCCTCTAAAATGTTATATCCACATGAGAAGTTCTAAAAATCAAAAATAGCCTAACAATGAAGGAAGGCAACTTGCGGCTTACAAAAAGAGTTAGTTAACAATTTTTAAAGATAAGGATAAAATAGACATGATCCTGGCAAAATCACACCTGTTAAGACCATAAGGCATTTCTGATCACTAATTCAAATTTAAAATAGCAGATTTGGAGCCAATTCAATACTGTATTTGAACTCTACTCATGTACCTAGTGAAAATGTTACTACTTTTCAGTTGAGTTTTATACATAAATAAGTCACTGATAAAACTGGATTGTAGGTAAGCTACTTAGTTCTTCAAAACTTTACCAGACATTCCAGATCAAAGACTAGGTTTCCAATTCTTAAAATACTAGGGTTACTTAAAAGTACTTGGAAATTAGAGTCACAGAAAATGCTTTTTCTGTTTTTTAAAAAATGATATTCTAATGAGAAATTCTTGCCCCCACAAAGACACACACACACACACACAATACCTTTCATGAGCTTGGCAAACGGCTCAGGGCAGGTGGATGGAATGGGCAAAGTGAGTTTATTGACTGCTACCCCATAAGCCACGGCGAGGCCATCAATGCCCCGATAGGGGACTTCTCCGGTGAGCAGTTCCCACAGCAGCACTCCATAGCTAGAAAGCAAGGATTTCATATGCTCAATGGGCTAAACAGTGTCTTTTCCTTATGACACACTTAGTGAGATAAACCCTTCAGTACCTTCATCCATTCCTAATAGGACACTCTATTCCAGAAAAGCCCCTAAATGGCTGACATCCCAAGGTGGGAGGTGGATTCTTCCCATCAACAATTCAAACACATGTAAATACATTCCATCCCAGAAATCCAGTATGCATTCATTCTAGGAATTAAAACTACTTCATGAATAGGAAAGCGTAAGAGTAGTACACAATTGAATTAAACAGGGTCCAGAACCAGGTCACACTTTAGGAGTAATGTGGCTGTTTTCTGTTTCTCTTTCTATCTCATTTTTCCCACACTTAAATAAAACCTCTTGAGGATTATTAGGACACCAAAGAGCACAGCCCCACAGAGATCTCATGGTGCATGCCACAGGGCTGACATGGAATCATGTTGATTAACTATTTTTAAATAGTTTTTTGAAACTGTTTATCTTCCTGCCTCTCTATATTTAGATGTGTTACTAATGTTTCTACCATATTGCTGAACAGTAAAGAACAGAAAGACATCAGTGTGGGCCCCCTTACACCTGCTGGCAGGACATACGTCTCTTTTTTGTAATGGAGGAAGCCAGGGTGAAATGGGAATAAAAAATAAGGCACAACTGCAGTCCCTGAGTTCTCCAAAGCATCATCACATGTGATGCAGATACAGCCACAAACAAGAACAAGCAAAGGCACAGAAGAGGATTTCTACATGAATGTTTACCATGAAGAGCCGAATTTCACTACATATCCATACCACATCCATACCACAGACTGATAGCCCAAATTCAATTTAGTACACAGGGACATAGGCACGAGTCTTCTGCATTGTATATATTTATTCTCTTCTGCTATCCAAGTCAGTACCTTAGTTTTCTCTTATTCTTCTTCAAAACATAAAGTACACGCAGATATCTTTTGTTAAGTAAATTTAAAGAATGAGAGTCACTCCAGATGATTCACTTGACTTCAGATTGAAACACATAAGCATATAAGTAACACTGTCTTGTCAAAAGACACAAAATTGCCAGGTACAGTGGCTCACACCTGTAATCCCAGCACCTTGGGAGGCTGAGGTGGGTGGATCACCTGAGGTCAGAAGTACAAGACCAGCTTGGCCAGCATGGTGAAACCCTGTTTCTACTAAAAATACAAAAATGACCCGGGCATGGTGGTGCGTGCCTGCAGCCCCAACAACTCGGGAAGTTGAGGCAGGAGAATCACTTGAACCTCAGAGGCAGAGGTTGCACTGAGCCGAGATCACGCCACTGCACTCCAGCCTGGGTGACAGAGCAAGACTCAAAAAAAAAAAAGACACAAAATTACAGCCAGATAATAGGAATAAGTACCCCTGTTTTAACGCACTGTAGGATGGCTACAGTTAGCAATAATATATCATATAGTTTCAGATAGCTAGAAGAGAGGATGTTCCCAACACAAACAAATGATAAATGTTTGAGATGAAGGATATGCTAATTACCCTGATCCGATCACCACACATTGTATGTATTGGAACATCACTATGTACCCCATAAATATGTACAATTATTTCAATTAAAAAATAAAAATAGCTGGGCATGGCAGTTCACGCCTGTAATTCTAGCATTTGGGGAAGGTGAAGTGGGCAGAATGCTTGAGCCCAGGAGTGCAAGACCAGCCTGGGCAATATGGTAAAACTCGTCTCTAAAAAAATACAAAAATTAGCTGGCCATAGTGGCAGGTGCTTATAGTCCCAGCTACTCAGAAGGCTGAGGTGGGAAAATCACTTGGGCCCGTGTGGATGAGGCTGCAGTGCGCTGTGATTGCACCACCACAGTCCAGCATGGGTGGCAGAGCAAGACCCTGTTTCAAAACTAAATAAATAAAATAAAAATTAATTAAAAGGAACAGTCATATTTGGTTTCCTTTTAAATTCTACTAATATAACTAGTGAAGCTCTATTCACTTTCCTAATCTTTTAAAACCTCATTAGCTTTAACTTTTTTTAAAATGTGAAATGTAGAAGCCACTGAATTATTTCTTAAGTGTTGGTTATACATAACCTTTTTTTTTTTTTTTTGAGATGGAATCTCGCTCTGTCTCCCAGGCTGGAGTGCAATGGCGCGATCTCAGCTCACTGCAACCTCCGCCACCTCCTGGGTTCAAGTGATTCTCCTGCCTCAGCCTCCTGAGTAGTAGCTGGGACTACAGGCACCCGCCACCACACCCAACTAATTTTTGTATTTTTAGTAGACACGGGGTTTCACCATATTGGCCATGCTGGTGTCCAACTCCTGACCTTGTGATCCACCTACCTTGGCCTCCAAAAGTGCTGGTATTACTGCTCACAAGCTATTTCTCCACTAACAAGGCCCTTAAAGCTGATCTTCAGTGAACTCTTCTATCAAATAATAGTGAGATCCACTCTACCATCTCAAAACATTGTTTTATCTCAAAAAGGAAATATATAATATATTTAATGTACTACTTGTAAATTATACAATGCTGTAACTATTAGCTAAAGTTAAAATCATTATTTTCCAAAGCTTATGTGTTTCCTTTTGATAATTTTCTTAAAAATCATCTATATTATAGTTAATTATAGGAGACATCTTCATAATTTCAAAAATAAGTAAACTTAACTCATAGATCATTCAACAAAAACAAAAAAAACTTACATAGAATAACTAAAATTGTCTAAATTCAAAGAAATTCCTATTAACAAATAACAAAACTTAAAAAAATAGCAATATAACTCTGCTTCTTGCAAGTTTCAGGAAATGAATAATCTAGGATGGATCATCTTTCCAGAGAGAGGAGGGCTTATCCCATGAAAAACCAATGTGAAAAGAAATGTAACTTTTTCAATGGAACTACTTCTAAAGTATAGTACACATTTTTCTGTTCTCTTAAACCAGGTAGAAGATAGTATAATGAAACGCTCTCCTGAGAACTCAGAATTGTAATGACTCAGGGCTGTGAGTCGGGAGTCATGGATCTCAGCCCTGGACCTAAAATCTGCTTCTTAGTAGTTTTACAACTCTAAGCAAATTTCTTAACTTCTCTGTGCCTCGGCTACTTAACCTGCAAAACCAGGATAATAAGAGCTGTAAAAATTAGATAACAATATCTAAGTGCATAAGACAATTACTCTGTAGTACAGTAACTGTTAGAAGGAAGGGAGGAGAAGAGAAGAAAATCAAGAAATATAAAATCACCAATCCCTAGCACTGCATAGGTAAAGCCATGCTTTTTGAATGAAACTTTTTTTTATGGAAATATCATCGAAAGAGACTTTACAGCAATGGTATCTATAATTCAAAGAGATGACCTGCCCTGCTTTTGCCCATCCGGATATCCTACAATGTGCTTTTGTATATGAATGGGTTCCGGAGATATGCAGAAATGTTTGACCCTACAACTAAGCAGCGCCAGGGATCGGTAGTTTCTCAGTTTTTTTAATAATACAGTCAGCTCTCCACATCTGCAGATTCAAGCAATCACGTGTGGAAAATATTCAGAAAAAAAAACAACAAAAAATAACAATACAACTTTCGAAACAATACAGAACGACAGCCATTTACACCACATTCACATTGTATTAGGTAATAATAAGTAATCTAGAGATGCTTTAAAGTACACGGGAGGATGTGCACAGGCTATATGCAAACACTATGCCTTTTTATATCAGGGACTTGAGCTAATTAGAAGAGGGGAGAGGGATGCCAAGCTAGTAACGGGAAAAAACCTCAGGTGAAAAGTAGGTAATGGAAAGAAAAACATATTAAATACAGAGGACCATTTCTGTATTTCATCTTTCGCCTTTTTTTTTTTCTTTTTTGAGACAGAGTCTTGCTCTGTCATCAGGCTGGAGTGCAGTGACATGATCTCGGCTCCCTGCAACCTCTGCCTCCAGGGTTCAAGTGATTCTCCAGCCTCAGCCTCCCAAGTAGCTGGGACTACAGGCGTGCACCACCACACCCAGCTAATTTTTGTATTTTTAGTAGAGACGGGGTTTCACCATGTTGACCAGGATGGTCTCGATCTCTCGACCTTGTGATCTGCCCACCTCGGCCTCCCAAAGTGTTGGGATTACAGGCATGAGCCACCATGCCCGGCTGGTATCTTCTGCTTTTAATGAAAATCAGATCATCGCACTTTGTAAATAAATCAATTTTGAGAGGTGACTTCTCTAGAGAATGTGTGGGGCTTAAAGGCCCATATTTTGGTTGGTTTTAGCAACTTTCTTTTCCTTTTTTTCTCTTCTGCTTACTTCTTGATTCTCCCCTGTTTATGATAGACAAGGTTGCTATAGAGCATGACCGCACAGCATTCGTATACCTGGTAATTACATAGTTTCTAATAAAAGCATAGTTTGTAATAAGATCTCATAGTCTTAAGATACATTATTTTGAATGTAATTGATTTACGATGTATTTTAATAGTTTTTAGAGTCTTGAAGTATAATATCTTAAAAAGATAGCCAATGTCACTTATGTAATTTGATATTTTCATATGGTTAGAAAATTACTAAATTAAATTACTAAATTACTAAAATTAGTCATTAACTCAATGAAAACACATTTAACGGTTTATAAAAACACACACGCTCAGCCTTCACCAGTAGACAGTCTAATTCATCAAGGGGTGAGGCTCAAGCACTTGTATTTTTCAGACTGGCCCTAAGACACTATAGAACCCTGATCCAACTGATAAATTTCTTAGAAGCTTTAAGTAGAACAATTAAATCATAATTTTAAATGCAGAAGATAAGCTTTAAATGGAAGGCAGTTTTATGGAACTTTTACTGACAGGGGTCTCTGCCACTGACTTCAGCTGTGAATTTGAGGGACTAACTTCTAGTGTTTCCAAAGATTTAAAAGGAAAAACAATTTTTGTGGAGCATGAATCTGAGAGCCAGGCAGACCTGGGTTCTTAAAAGGTTCCGGCACTTACAAGTACTGGACTCTTAGCAAGTATTTCTCTCTCTCATTCCCAGTTTTCTTTTATGTAAAAAAAGGGAAAAAAAAGTAATAACAAAATCCTAAAATTGTAATTTTAACCATGAGATACCACTTTACACCTACAAGGACGGCCCGAATCAAAAGGTCAGATGACAAGTGACAAGGAAGATGGAGAGAAATCGGAACCCTGACACTCTACTGGTGGGAATAAAAAAAAAGAAGGTGCAGCCACTTTGGAAAATGGTCTAATGCTTCTTCAAAGAATTAAACACAGAATTACCATATGGCCAAGCAATCTCACTACTACTCCTAGATATATAGTCAAGGAAACTGAAAACACACGTTCTCACAAAAATGTGTTCAGGAATGTTTGTTATCAGTTCTATTTGCAGTCGCCAAAAATTGGAAACAACCCAAATGTCCATCCAGAGATAAATGGGTAAACAAGATGTGGTACAGTAATACTCTATGATTAAGCCATAAAAATGAAGGAGGTATTGATCCATGCTCTGACATAGATGAACCTCAAATCATTAGGCTCAGTGAAAGAAGCCAGTCACAAAGGAATATTCTAAGATTCCACTGACATAAAATGTTCAGAATAAACAAAAGTCAAGATACAGAACATAAATGAGTGGTTGCCTAGGGCTGAGAGGGAAGGGGGAGTTGGGGACAATAGGTAAGGGGTGACAGGTTTTCTTTCTGCATGAAAGAAAATGTTCTACAATCAACTGGGATGATGGACACACAACTTACTAATATACAAAATGCCATCAAACTGTACAATTTAAATGCATCAGTTTCGTGGTATGTGAATCATATCTCAACGAAGCTGTTAAAAACAGAAAAAAATGGAACTTTAATGATTAACGCAGGATTTTATTTTGTTTTTTTACATCTATCCTTTTTTAAATTCTTTCTCAACTTTTATTTCAGATTCACGGAGTACACATGCAGGTGTATTACCTGGGTATGTCGTGTGATGTTGAGGTTTGGGATACAAATGGTCCTGTCACCCAGGTACTGAGCATAGTATCCAAGAGTTACTTTTTCAGCCCTTTCCCCGCTCCTTCCCTCCACCTTCTCTTAGTCCCCAGCGTCTACTGTTGCCATCGTTATATCCCTGAGTACCCAATGTTAAGCTCCTACTTATAAGTGAGAACATGTGATATTCGGTTTTCTATTCCTGCATTAATTCACTTAGGATAATGGCCTCCAGCTGCATCCATGTTGCAAAGGACGTGATTCCACTCTTTTCATGGCTGTGTAGTATTCCATGGTGTACGTGCACCACATTTTCTTTATTAACAGGATTTTATGAGCACTAAACAATGGCAAGTAAGTTCTAGGTGCATCATAACTATTAAACAGTGTGATTTTTCTTTGTTATTTTGTAATTGTTAGCATCCTTCTAATGAGACAAAGCTGAATGGAAAGTCAAAATAACCTGGTAATCCATTTGAGTGCAGCTCCCAGTCTTCAAATAGGAGACTTTAATCTTTAGATGATGCAATCTATAAAATGAAGGATAGGTCTAAATTTTTTTCTTAAATTCCTTCCATGCTAATATTGCCTGTGAGTCACAAGGAATCAAAAGTTTGTTAAAAATGTCAATTCAGGCTGGGTGCAGTGGCTCACACCTGTAATCCCAGCACTTTGAGAGGCTGAGGTGGGTGGATCACTTGAGTCTAGAAGTTCAAGACCAGCCTGGGAAACATAGTGGACACTCTCCCTCCTAAACCCCCGCTCCTCTACACACACACACACAAATTAGCCAGGCATGGTAGTGCACACCTGTGGTCCTAGCTACTCAGGAAGCTGAGGAGGGAAGATCACTTGAGCCTGGGAGGTTGAGGCTACAATGAGCCATGATTGCATCACGGAAAATTCACTTTAATTTACTGGCGCATCCTACAAAATCTTGGGAATTTAGTGTTAATTCAAATTATAACCAGTTTTAACTAAACTTGTGATTTAACTAGAAAGTTCTCCTCTGAAATGGAGTCATATGACAATGCAAACATCAAATTATCTGTTCCGTTGTCATTACAATTATTTTGATCAAAACCATAAAAATTCATTCAAAAAGGCCTCGACTATTTATGCTGAGAATTACTGAATACTTTGGGACTTACTGAAATAAAGCATAGCAAGCAGTTTCTGCCGATGTTTGCAAAAGGAAAGGCTCACCTCCAGATGTCGCTTCCCTTAGAAAACAAGGAAGACTTGATCACTTCGGGGGCCATCCAGGCATAGGTGCCTGCTGTGCTCATTTTGGTGGTCCTGTGCCATTCCCTCGCCAACCCAAAATCTGTAATCTTCAAAGTTTTATTGCAGATGTCATCATGTTCTATCTTCTCAAGTAGCAAAACTAAAGAAAAATCAAAAGTGAGACATTTGCATATTCTTTTAATTTTTCTGTCACAATTTTTCTGTGGCATGTAAAACACAATCTTCACTGTAGTTGGCAGAATAAACAAGAATAAACTTGCATTTTACCATTTTACTTACAGCACAGATTTTGTAGTCTTTAGTGGGTTATCTGTGCCTGAAGTTACAAGTTATTTTAAGACACAACTTAGAGCTCTTTATGAGTAGTTCTCTTTCTGAGAAAGTAAATGATTTCTAAGAGCAAGAAACATTTCCTGAGATATCACAAGTAGGATCAGAAGTCTGTAAAAATTTACCTGATATGAAAAAATACATTATTTTCTGACCTAAGTACAGAATGTTTTCTACTGAAGTGGAGAATATTGAAATTAGATGATATATTACCATAGCTGATTATTATCAAACATTATCTTACATTAAATTTGCAAAGTGCTTATAGATTCTTTAACTGATAAAGATAATGTAGGAGATATAATTGCTTTACTGGAGCTCAAAATGTAGCAAAAAGTAAACACAGTGGTCATCCAGTTGCTGGTTTTCTCAATGCCAGCCTCCTGCCAATGTAGAGGATGCACAGGGGGAACTCCCGGGAGTGAAGCTGATGCCAGCATCTGTCCCTGAGCTCTTGTGTAGCTCTGCAACTACAACAAATGTGCTTTTATTATTATTATTATTATTATTATTATTATTATTATACTTTGAGTTCTAGGGTACATGTGCACAAGGTGCAGGTTTGATACATAGGTATACATGTGCCATGTTGGTTTGCTGCACCCATTAACTCGTCATTTACATTAGGTATTTCTCCTAATGCTATCCCTCCCCCTGCCCCCCATCCCATGACAGGCCCCCGTTTGTGATGTTCCCCACCCTGTGTCCAAATGTTCTCATTGTTCAATTCCCACCTATGAGTGAGAATATGCAGTGTTTGGTTTTCTGTCCTTGTGACAGTTTGCTCAGAATGATGGTATCCATCTTCATCCATGTCCCTGCAAAGGACATGAACTCATCCTTTTTTACGGCTGCATAGTATTCCATGGTGTATATATACCACACTTTCTTAATCCATTCTATCATTGATGGACATTTGGGTTGGTTCCAAGTTGTTGCTATCGTGAATAGTACTGCAATAAAGATACGTGTGCATTTGTCTTTATAGTAGCATGATTTATAATCCTTTGGGTATATACCCAGAAATGGGATTGCTGGGTCAAATGGTATTTCTAGTTCTAGATCCTTGAGGAATCGCCACACTGTCTTCCACAATGGTTGAACCAGTTTACACTCCCACCAACAGTGTAAAACCGTTACTATTTCTCCACATTCTCTCCAGCATCTGTTGTTTCCTGACTTTTTAATGGTCGCCCTTCTAACTGGTGTGAGATGGTATCTCACTGTGGTTTTGATTTGCATTTCTCTGATGACCAGTAGTGATAAGCATTTTTTCATGTGTCTGTTGGCTGCATAAATGTCTTCTTTTGAGAAGTGTCTGTTCATATCCTTTGCCCACTTTTTGATGGGGTTGTTTGGTTTTTTCTTGTAAATTTGTTTAAGTTCTTTGTAGACTCTGGATATTAGCCCTTTGTCAGATGGGTAGATTGCAAAAATTTTCTCCCATTCTGTAGGTTGTCTGTTCACTCTGATGGTAGTTTCTTTTGCTGTGCAGAAGCTCTTTGGTTTAATTAGATCCCATTTGTCTATTTTGGCTTTTGTTGCCATTGCTTTTGGTGTTTTGGTTATGAAGTCCTTGCCCATGCCTATGTCCTGAATGGTATTGCCTAGGTTTTCTTCTAGGGTTTTTATGGTTTTAGGTCTAACATTTAAGTCTTTAATCCATCTTGAATTGATTTTTGTATAAGGTGTAAGGAAGGAATCCAGTTTCAGCTTTCTACATATGGCTAGCCAGTTTTCCCAGCACCATTTATTAAATAGGGAATCCTTTTCTCATTTCTCATTTTTGTCAGATTTGTCAAAGATCAGATGGTTGTAGATGTGTGGTGTTATTTCTGAGGCCTCTGTTCTGTTCCATTGGTCTATCTCTCTGTTTTGGTACCAGTACCATGCTGTTTTGGTTACTGTAGGCTTGTAGTATAGTTTGAAGAGAGGTAGTGTGATGCCTCCAGTTTTGTTCTTTTTGCTTAGGATTGTCTTGGCAATGTGAGCTCTTTTTTGGTTCCATATGAACTTTAAAGTAGTTTTCTCCAATTCTGTGAAGAAAGTCATTGGTAGCTTGATGGGGATGGCATTGAATCTATAAATTACCTTGGGCAGTATGGCCATTTTCATGATTTTGACTCTTCGTATCCATGAGCATTTCATTCACTCCTCACCTGCACCCTCCTACCTGGCCCTTCCAAGCACCTTCAGCTCCTCTCCCTTTGGCTGATCTGCCTCTGCCTAGAACCATGCAGAAATGTTCCCTAGGTTGTCCACGAGGCTCTAATGCAGCTGGAGGCTGCCACCCTCTCCTCTAGCTAATCCCTTCTATAGAAAGAGGAGAGGGTATCTGGTTTGCAGAACATAATCATAAAGAGGGTCATTTTTTTCAAATGTTAGTTTTAGTAAAAACTAACACTCCTGAGTATATTCTACCTGTCAGGTGAGGTTGTAGGTATTTTAATTACATAACCCATACGACAATGCTATAGGTAGATACTATTATCTCCACTTCATACATAAAGACACTGAGGAACAGAGATGTTCAGTAATTTGTCCAGGGTCACAGAGCTAAGGAGCAGTGAAGCTCAAGCAGTCTGACTCCAGAGCCTATGGTCCTAACCACTATGTACTCATTTAGTTGACAGCTTTTACTAATTTTTCACAAAATCTTTATTTATCCTTTGGAAATCTCTCTCTACTCAGGTGCCCATTCTCCTCCCTTTTGATTTCCTGCCATTGGTCAATTATTAACTGATCTAAATAGAGGCAGTGTAGAGTGGTGAGGAAATGCATGCAGTCTAGGGCCAACCCGCCTGGTTTGGATCCCATGTGCTTCTGCTTCCTTGCTTGTCTTGTGAATTACCATAGTACCTACATCATAAGATTGTAGGGAGGAGTAAATGAATACATGTGAAGTGCTCAGAACAGTGGCTGAGACATGGTAATTACTCTATAAGAATTTCACACACACACACTTTTATTAATGGGTTTGAAAGTGTTTTTAGCAAGCCTTCAAAATCAATTTCATGAACTTCAGGAAATCCTGCCTCTTTTTCAAGGCTTGAGATTTCACAATGGATGTGCATTTTGATTGTATTACATTGTCAAACATTTATAATATCAGGCAGTCATAGGAGCTAATGCAATTGGAGGGAACCCAATTGGAGGAAACCAACACTAGGTTTAAATGTGGAGGGTTATTTGAGTAGGGGCTTATTAGGTAAGTAATTGATACTGAATAAATACTGTTGGGTTACAACTTTTTTCCCCGTGTCATCTTGTAACTGAAATTTAGAGAGCAAGAACCATCTCTTCTATTCTTATTTCCATTATAGATATGAAGAATCCGATTTAGGATGGCTATATGTCCATGGTTACACAGTGGCTAAACAGTAAGGCCAACATGCTACCATTCTTACTCTTAATGCTATACTACATGGGGAGGGATGGAGAAAAGGAGGGTGAGAGAGGCAGGGAGGAAGGAAATCAGAGACCCACTTCCATTTGAAATAACCTTTCATTCTTCCTATCCATCTATACTGTCCCAATTTTCAAGGACCAGCTTCCTTAGAAAAACCCCCTAAGCATTCCACAAAATTGTGAATGATTTTATCTTCCCTATCATTTGCTACTCACATATGACATTATTTTGTCAGTTATCTTTTTACCTAAGACTTCTCTAACAAAGCTATGTACAAGCTACTTTAATCGCAGGAAATGTATTTTATAGCATTCTGCGAATCCTCCATATCGCCTAACATAGTTCCTTGTACATCACAATGTTCAATGGAATATCTTTTGTTAATGATACTTATCACCAATTCAAATAATAAGAATATTGCCCACCATTTACCAACCCTCTGCTATGCAGAGTTGTTTCCACACATTTAATATTTCATTTGATTGTGACACTAGTCTACCAGGCAGGAATATAATCTCCAGCTCAGAGCCTAGAAATGTTATCCAAGATCAAAGGGCTGAAACACAGAGCTGGAGCTCATCCCCAGCCCTTTTCTGTTCTGCTCAGAAGCTATTGGTTATAAGAAGAGGGCAAAGCAACCAGAAATCTCATTCTGTGAGATTAATTTTTGAATGTTCCATCCACATCAGTTAAAGGTATATTTATTTCTCAGTCCTTATTCCCTATGAATATAAAGAAAAATAAATACCTACAGAAAAAGAGATTTAGATCCCCAATCCTTTAAACCCTACATACTGAAACCACAGAAAGCTGAAACAACAACAACAACAAAATACAGGGGAATTAATTAGCTTTTTTTTTTCATCAGCTGCATTATGTTTTCCTTCTAGAAATACCATTAATTTCACCTTTAAACAATAATTGTTCCTATCACCAAAAGACCCCAAATTAATGATCAAAATGGCTTGCAGTTCTATAAAACTTTGTTTCTCAAAGCACTTTTATACACATTATCTCCTCATTCTTACAAACCTCCAGGCAGGCAGACATGAGAAACGACTGATGAAAATAGGCCTCAAAACACTTCCTTGCCTCCTTATCCACACCCAGACCCCAAGTAAGGGCTGGCAGCCCTTGCGATGCAAAGGTCAAAGAAAGTCTGCTCTAAATAATAAAAACAGAGTCAAAAGTGAGAACTAAAAACCAAACACTAACAAACTTCATTCCCAAATAAACGGATGGCAGCGTATGATATTAGCAGACTTGGTTCTGACAGTTTCAGAACACCAGCCCCCATTCCCCAGGTCCAGAGTTTCCATAGGAGCCAGGCACCTCCACACTGCAGGCTCACGGAAAACAAGTTCAAATCACACTCCAAATGTCAACCCTTTAGGGTACCATGAAAAGCCCATTGTTTTGGATTCCATCTCAGAGGTGTTCAGCAGAATTCCTGGAATTCCATATCTTTTGGACAAAGTGACTGAAACCAAAAATAGCCCATCTCACAACAGGTAATATAATGGGGCACACTGCCAGGTTTCAGCCTAAAGACACATGGTTGGCAGCCAACTTCCGCTTCCTGTCATTCACGCAGGAAGAACCACAGTGCACTAGCTGGTCACCACTGATTTTAATGTACAAACCAGGCAAACTAACCTTTTTGGCCACAGAAATGGTAAATTCTTGTGAGTATCCTAGCAACAACTGTTTGAGCACCCTTTCCTGTGACTTCAGTAAAGATTTTTGACCCTCGTTAGCCCCATTCTTTAACAATTGGCCTCTACAACCTTGTACTTAGCCTACTTATTCAACCATGAGGCACAGAATTTTTTCAGCTCCTTTGAAGTTTCACATTGGTATTTTCAGAATTATAGTATATAATGTATATTTTTAAAAAAGCAATTATTATGTACATCATGTTCTCAACATTGATGGGATCACTGTGTCCAAATTATTTAATGAGTCAAATGAGTTTCGATTAATCTTTAACTGGAAATGTATTATCCAAAAAAAGTCATAAGCAAGAAAACAAGTTGAGAAAAGCAATAATGTGAAAGAATATATTAACAAAAAACTTCATGAAACTTTATAAATTTCAACTTTGAGGACAATCCACAATTTATATGGAATGAATGATAACTTTCTCAATTTATCACATAGCATAGAATGTTTCTCATATTTCTTTTCACCCATTTCCTAGTGGCACCAGTTCCCCTTCACCCCTAGCACCATCTGCCTCCCCCTTCCCCTGACTCCCACCCCGGACACATACCCCACTCACTATCCAGCCTAGGGAGTAAAGCCCACACTTTCATTTTGGCCTCCGTCCCTTCTCAATCTCATTCTAAATGATCCTTCCAGCTCTCTTTTGTACTCTCCTGAATGAACCCTATATTCTAACAATTCTGTGTGCCATTTCTAAAATCTACAGCATTGCCTTTTTCTGTCTCCCCACTGCCCTGTGCCTCCTTACAGAATGGAATGCCTTCCTCTTCCGCCCTCTATAAAACTCACACTTCCTACTGGACCTCCCACTCAATCAGGGCACCAGCACTGAGCTCTTAGTCCAGGCTGCCATGGCATTAACTGTGAAGCCACTTACAAGTCCACTGGCCTTTGGAATCTGGACACTTCCTGCTCCAATATTAGATGAGTCTATAAGCAACATCTCCCCATTGCCTTTTGCCTAACCTCAGCTACTTCTCTGCATTCTAATACACTTAGACTGTACCTTGCCCGTTACACTTAAATCCTGCCTTATCTTCCTTATTACAATTTCATCTTATTAAATTGTAAGCAGCTTGAGGATAGAACTTGTGCCTAATTAATCTTTTTTTTTAATACTGCACAGCAACTGGCATTTTAACAGGCTCAAGTGTTTGCTGAATGAATGAGGAAATTAATAATGAATACTCTTAGGGAAGAATGAATATGAAGAAGATGAATTATTATAAGCTTTTTCTTTCATGTTAAGTCAGCTGCTAATTACAGAAAATCGATTCACCTCTACCCTCCTAAAAATGTATTAGGATCTGGACATTAAGAAATGAAGACTCTTGGCCAGATGTGGTGCCTCAAGCCTGTAATCCCAGCACTTTGGGAGGCTAAAGCGGGAGGATCACTTGAGCCCAGGAGTTCAAGACCAATCTGGGCAATACAGTGAGAACCAACCCCTACAAAAGAACTTAAAAAGTGGCTGGGCATCATGGTACTCGCCTATATAGCCCCAGCTATTTGGGAGGCTGAGGTAGGATTATGACTTGAGCCCAGGAGGTTAAGGCTGTCCTGGGCTGTGATAGCACTGCTGCACTCCAGCCTGGACAACAGAGAAAGACCCTGCCTCAAAAAAAAAAAAGAAGAAGAAGAAGAAGGAGAAGGAGGAGGAGAAGGAGGAGGAGAAGGAGGAGGAGAAGGAGGAGGAGAAGGAGGAGGAGGAGGAGGAGAAGGAGGAGAAGAAGGAGAAGAAGGAGAAGGAGGAGAAGGAGAAGAGGGAGAAGAGGGAGAAGAAGAGGAAGAAGAAGAAGAGGAAGAAGAAGAGGAAGAAGAAGAGGAAGAAGAAGAAGAAGAAGAAGAGGAAGAAGAAGAAGAAGAAGAAGAAGAAGAAGAAGAAGAAGAAGAAGAAGAAGAAGAAGAAGAAGAAGAAGAAATGATTGTTTTAAAAATAATTGTAGCAAAACAGTTATTTGAATATTCATCTATCAGTGGCATTTGATACGGTTGATCATTCTTCCCTGAAATACTTTCTTCACTGGTCTCCACACTCCTGATTTTACCCTTTACTTCTAGCTATTCTTGGGTCCTCCCTGTCTCCCTGACCTCTAAAGACTGGAGACTACGAGGACTCAGTCCGTGGACCTCTGTCTAGTTTTTTCTTATTTACACTCACTCCCTAGATAATCTCAGCCAATCTCAGGGCTTTACATACCTTTTCATGCTGATGACTCTCACATTCATATTTCCAACCTGGTTCCCCTTCATCAAATTTCAAAACTGCTGCCAGTATAGTCCTGTTAATATGTAAATCAGACCACAGCTCTCCTCTGTTCAAAAGTCTCTTGCGTCGTAGTAAAAGTCAAAGACCCTGTAGGGCCCCCAAGACTGCATAGTCTGAGGGATCCCTGCTTCTCCCTCATGTGCTGCTGTTCTGCCCACCTTCACTTTTCTCCCAGCACACTGGCCTCTTGTTTTAGAAATCTTGCAATTTCTGTTCTCTGTAACAAGCATGTTCTTTCCCAGATGACCCATTTCCTCACTTACTTAGATACTGCTGAAAATCCATCTTTTCTGCAAGACTTTGCTTAGACACACAATCTTTGACTGCTCACTTCAACATTTCCATCCTCCTTTGCAACTTTAGTTTTTATACTAAGCACTTACCACTCTCCAAGATACTACACATTATTTATTTTGCTTAATGTCTGTCTCACTCACTAGAATACAAGATCCTTAAGGGAGGAATTTGTGTCTGCTTTGTTCACTACACAATACCAAGCGCCTAGGAGAGTTCCGCATATAATATATGATCAACAAGTAACTGTTGTATAAATGAAAGAGCTAGCATACCAAATACAAGAAGACAGGCTTCTGTAAAGAAAAAACAGATGTGATAAGCTAAAACAGAACTTCACATTGCTCATATACTGAAATAAAATCCATCTTTCATGGGACAAGCCTTTACATGGACATGTAGTATACTCAGTTTTAATGAGAAAATCACTTACATTTCATTGTATGTAAAGTCTAGCTCTAAATTTCTATCATGTTAGTATTTTAATAGTCAAGGTACATAATAAAGCATACTGAGGCAGAAATCTTTCATAATATTCTACATTAATATATTAGCAAGAACATAACATATTTAATACAACCAGATGCATTATTTGCAGAAAATCTGAAACAAAATAAACCACTTAAAATCACGTGAAGCCAAATCTTCAGAAGTAACAATTCAAACATCCTATATGCCATCAAGATACTTCCCGAAATGGAATGTGATTTGCTCTTTTTCCAATAGCTTAAAAAATGCACAAACTAGTAATGAACCGTGGTAGTGAAACAGTTACAAGAGCAATTTAATACTTTATGCCTCCACCTTGACCCAACTTATCAACCCAAGTCACCAGCAGGCCTGCCAAAGTGTACAGATCTCAGCACACCTGCAGGGAACAAGGCTCAGAACTGTTTCCTCATACTGCAGGCTGCCTGGAATCACCCAAGTTAGCCAAATTAAAAAGACCCTCACCTCCAACCAAGATGAACAAATACCTGATTAAGTGACACCTGATTTTGCAGAAAGAATAAAAATAGTAACGTTATTAGGCTGTAAAGAGTTGTAGAAAATGTTTAGGTATCAATGAGTTCACACACACACAACATTAGGAAATATTTAAAGCACAAATATTTTAAATGTAAAACACTTAGAAGTGTTTCTAAGTAAAATATTAAAATGAATATAGTCAACAGCTTGCATTTAAATTTTGTCTTACAGTTTACTAAATTCTTTGACATATATGAGGAATTGGCAAACTAGAGCCCACAGGCTAAATCCAGCACAATGCCACTTTTGTAAATAAAGTTTTATTGGAACACTGCCACATTCATTTGTTTACATATTGTCAAGGATTTTTTTTGGCTACAACAGCAGAATTACATAGTTGCAAACAGAGACCATATGGGCTGCAAAACCAAAAAGATTTACTATCCGGCCCTATACAGGAGAAATTTGCCGACCCCAGACATACACTGTCTCACTTAATCCTCACGTCACCCTATTCAAAAAGCTAGTGGAGTCAGACAGAGCTCAAACCTACTACCACAAATAACACCATTTGTCCTCCAATGTGAAAGGAACAAACGCTCTGAGATGTTCCTTTTCCCAGAGTCATACGCCAGAATACATCAGGCATACTGTCACCTGGCTCCTGCTATGACTTACCATACATTTATCAGCAGACAGTTACTTGATTTGGATATAGTCTGTAGCCATGGAAGAATTTCTATATCAACCCAGATAACATATAAGAAGGAATCCATAAATCTGGTCCTCAGAACTGTAGCTTTCAAACTTTGCTGTATATCTATATTTGCTGAATCATCTGGAATCTTCAAAGAAAAATTATTGTTTCCTCATAAAGTAAGATAGACTAATGAATGCATATGGGTTAAATCTATGTTAAAGCACATTAGTGAAATGTTAATGGTAGAATCTAGGCAGTGGGATTATAAGTGAAATAATTTTTGTAAGTGAATAATTTTAAGGGATTTTTTTATTTTATTTTATTTTATTTATTTATTTATTTATTTGACGGCATCTGGCTCTGTTACCCAGGCTGGAGTGCAGTGGCACAATTTCAGCTCACTACAACCTCCACCTCCTTGATTCAAGCAATTCTCCTGCCTCAGCCTCCCAAGTAGCTGAGATTACAGGCACCCACCACCACGTCCGGCTAATTTCTGTATTTTTAGTAGAGACAGGGTTTCACCATGTTGGCCAGGCTGATCTTGAACTCCTGACCTCAAGTGATCCACCCACCTCAGCCTCCCAAAGTACTGGAATTACAGGTGTGAGCCACCATACGCAGCCTTAAGTAAAATTTTAATTTTCACTTAAAACTATGTCAGTTCTATATATTCCAAGATTTTCCAAATAAAATATTAGGGAAAAAATGCATCGCTTATTCCTAAGGTTCACTGAAGCAGAATATCCAAAAATGAGGCAGAACATGTTATTTTTAAAAAGTTCTCAGAGAGATTCTGACGCCACAATAGGTGTGGGAACTACTGCTAAAGAGTGTCATTCTGGATCAACAGAACTAATCATTTAGCCTAGAGGTTCTCAAAGTATAGTCTAGGGATCCCTGGGGTTCCCTAAGATGGTGACAGTGTGAATGCAGAAGCAGATATGAACATCCATCTGTCTTCTCCCAAAGTCTGGCATTAAAGTGAACTCTACAAGTGCAAATAAATGCCACCATCCTCATTAAATTTGTTTGGGAAAATATGGGGGTTTTCCCATTACAAATGCTACGTTAAGATGTAATGGGGTCTATTGTTATATTCATATTATTAAACATTTTTAAAATGTATCATTTTAAATTTCTAATATGATAAATATTAATTGCTATAAACCAAAGCTCTTTGGGAGTCCTGAAAGCAAATATTTGAGAACTGTTAATCCAGGCAATATACGGAGACAATAAAACACAAGTTCCAGGATCAGAGGTCCCAGATTTAATTCTTAGCACTCCCCTCTGATGGGTTGAATGACTTTGATCAAGTCAGTTAATCATTGAGTTCAGTTTTTTTTTTACCTGTAAATTGGGGATAATTAGAGCGCCACCTCAAAAGGTTGTAGTGACAAATAAATGAGGATAAATTGTGAGTAGTGCTCGGCATCTAATATGCCCTAAATAAATGTTAAAAACTCATCTTGTTACTATTAGGTTGGTGTACAAGTAATCGTGGTTTTGCAATTATTAATACTATTATTTAGTTAAAAGCACTCAACGTGAAGCAATATTTGGAGAAGATGAATTTTAAAAACTAAATTCACACTGCCAAGGGGTCAACTGTACAAATTTAAGTTTCAGGCTCCAAAATAAAGCCATCACAGCTCTCCCAGGTCCCCCACAAAACCCTCTGCCCATTAAAATTCCTTCATTGGGGTGCTTCTATTTTTCGGGAGCCCTGGATTGCCTCAGAGGGTTTGGGGAGCCTCAGAGAGTTTGGGGACAGTCATTAACATTTGGAGTTAAGATCATCAGCCTGACACGGTAAAGCTAGAGAATATTTTCCAATTTTGGAAGTAGTTAGAAATGTAACAAACCTGCACATTGTGCACATGTACCCTAGAACTTAAAGTATAATAAAAAAAAAAAAGAAAGAAAGAAATCAGAGAGAAAATGTAGTCTAAATTAATTCAGTAAACAAATTGTGATGCTAAAAACTAGGCTTGAATTGTAAATGATAAACAATGTGGTCAAACCAATGTCTAAGTAAGTTATTTTAGTTTTTATTATTGCCATTCTGACAATCTATGATAGTACAGTCATAAAGCAATGACCGCAAGCTTATGTTTCTCTCTCTGTAGATGTGTTTTCTTGCAGCAGATCATACTACACTACTCCTCAATAACCATCAATGGCTCTCCCTTGCCTCTTAAATAGTCCACACATCTTAGTATGGCATCCATGGCACTCACTGCCTGACCACATGCGAAATGCCTGTTTCCTTCCCCCCCAAAAAAACCCTTTCTCCACTTTTCATTCTAGTTACACCTAACTACTCATTGTTCCCTGAAAAAGCCATATGTTTTTATGCCAGTATTTACCTAATTGGCTTTAATGGGTTAAGAAACATTAAACAGATTTTCCCTACAGGACTTCTGACAGATCTCCCAAGAAACGAATACAGTATCAGAAATCAAGACAATCAGTCTCAATGAAGTTATATAACTTGCTCAAGGTCACACAGCTAGTAAATGAGGACACTGATATTCAAATCCAGATCTGACTGACTTTAAAGGCAATGCTAGATAGAGCCAGAGGTGGTGTCTCTTACATGTAATCCCAGCACTTTGGGAGGCTGAGGAGGAAAGATGATGGCTTGACTCCAGGAGTTTGAGACCAGCCTGGGCTACACAGCAAGACCTTGTATTAAAAAAAAAAAAAAAAAAAAAGTCCAGGCACGGTGGCTCACACCTGTAATCCCAGTACTTTGGGCGGCCGAGGCGGACGGATCACGAGGTCAGGAGATCAAGACCATCCTGGCTAACACGGTGAAACCCCATCTCTACTAAAAATACAAAAAAAAATTAGCTGGGCGTGGTGGCGGGCGCCTGTAGTCCCAGCTACTCGGGAGGCTGAGGCAGGAGAATGGCGTGAACCCGGGAGACGGAGCTTGCAGTGAGCCAAGATCGTGCCACTGCACTCCAGCCTGGGGACAGAGCGAGACTCCGTCTCAAAAAAACAAAAACACACACAAAAAAGCCAATGCTGTTTCCCTTAGCTGCACTATTCTGGTAGGTTTAGCACTTAAATGCTAGTGTGAAAAAGCAGGGCTTACAAATGACCTTCTTAAATGGGTAGAGCAGATAAATACTTTCCTCTGTCTCCTTTACCCTGCTTTGATATACTTGATAATGATTACAAAACTGATCAAATACGGATACTTTGCATAATTCAGAACTAACTAGCTATACCCCTCACAACTACAAAAAAATAAGACATTGCCTATTTTTTTTTTTAATTTTAATATTTGTAGTCCAGGGTCTCACCATGTTCCCCAAGCTGGTCTCAAACTCCTGGGCTCAAGCGATCCTCCCACCTTGGCCTCCCAAAGTGCCAGGATGATAGATAGGTATGAGCCACTACACCTGGCCAGCTACTTACTTTTTAATACGCAAACATGAAAATGATGGGGGAAGATGTGGTGACTCTTTTGTGATTGCCATTCTTCTAAAAGTCTAATCTTTCACTAACTTTGTTTCAAAAGCAGATGTAGATCTCAGTTACCATTGGGACATCTGGACTGACTTCTCTGTGCCTCCTGGAATAGGAAGCAGCTATAGCATGAAGCTACATGTCCTGAGTATAAGAACAGAAGAGAGAAGGAACTTATGTCTTACAACTGATAATAGTGAAATTAGTAGCTTCCCCAAATCACTCTGATGAGCTATTTAAACATCTTATCTGGAGATTACATTTTCCATAATTTTCTCAGATAGTTCTTTTATTTACACAGTACTAATGAAAAAAAGCTAAAACAAAATTTATATTCCTTTTGCAGTTTGTCATAGTAAGAGCTCCAAATGGCATTTCATAATAAATACAACTATTGTAGTTGTAAATAATACTGTAGATAGATAATAATTATTCCTAAAAGACTAAAAAAATTGAGATAATAAATGCTTAATCACTGACATAAAAAGTATAAAAGTAAGTAGCTACCATAATTTGTGGCTCAGTTCCCCATGGAAAGTTTATTTCCTCTTAAGAAAAAAAAAATAGAACACAATAAGCAACATCAAAAAAGAAAAAGGAAACCATACATGATGCCACATAATCTTACTTCAATCTTGCACTTCTGCAATTTGATAAATAAAACTCTTAAACAAAATTCTAATATTTCAAACCATCCTTGGGAATTCTTATATTGCAGTATTTTATCTTCACTGCCCCCTGGTAACCTCCCTGCAAAATACTTCCATTGCTACCACTCTGGGCAGAGTCGGTGCCTCCTCTCATATAGACAACCTTGAAAGCCATCACTTGAGCCCACTGCAGTCCGTTCTTCACAGAAGCCAGCACCATCACTCCAAGTGAAACCTCCATGTGCACAGCAGAGGGAGGCCTGCCAGGCCTGCCCCACGCATGCCTCTCCTCACCAGCCTTCTCCTTAGGCCTCCAATATGGAAGGCTCATTTTTGCTTCCTCTTTCCTTTGCCTGGGTCTTTGCTTGACGAATTCGTGGTCCTTCCTCGGAGTGCCTTCCCTGGAGAGCCCCTGTGTGAAACAGCACCCCCATCCTCCACTCTACCACTCTCCACCCCTTACCATGCTTAATTTTCTTGATGGCATTTTCTAATCTATTTGTTATTACGTGACTGCCATCTATCTTCCCCGTTAGACTAAGCTCTATGATGGCAGATTTGTTGTCATTGATGTCTGGCTTGCCAGTGTCCCTGAGGCCCAGAAGTGACTGGCACAGGGTGGGCATTCCAACAGTGTTGAATGAGTTCCAGCTCTCCACAATGTTTCTCTCTTCTGTAAATGCGCATAACACTGGCGATTTTCACAGTAACTCAAAGTTGCCTTGTATTGTTCTCTGGGGGGTGCCTATAGGTAGACTTATATAAAGTATTTTCTACTTATTTTGCATCCAGAAGGGAGTTACAGGGCCTAGTATTTATTTAAAACATAAATGTTGCTTAAAGCTTGCTAACTTGGCACAACTTTCAACCTGTTGCTACCTGTTAGAAAAGGGACAAAGTTGTTTATATCATTCACAACATATCAGCTATTATCTAGACACAGACATTCCCTCACAAGATATGATAAAACTTGAGAAGATCTACTAGAAAAGATAAAAGAAAATCTGTCAAGAGTAACATATTCTCTAGACAAATTTAAATATTTGTTTAAAACAGTAATTTCCACTGAATTGGCTCCAAGTAGTCTTCTATTAGCTCTTTGGTACATGAGTACACTTCGGAGTGAAAATAAAATTCAATATTGATTTTTAAAACCTTGTTTACGTTATCACTAACTCACTACCACCATTAGCAAATATCCAATAAAATCAAACAAAACATACTGCAATAGAGTATCTGTTATACTTAAAAGTCTAAACAAGAAGTCATAGCTTCATATATCAGCAGAGAATTTCAAATCTGCATTTATTCATTGAACAAATAAAATCAGACATTCAGGATAAAGACCATGTATGAGGCACCATGGTTTGCACATTCTAGACCCCAGTCAAACTCTTCACTTTATAGTAATTAAATAACTATGATAATGGTCATATTGTAACAAATACTTGGCCAGGCTAGTGACTAGCTAATTAAGTCTTTTATAAGAGTGCAACAATTTAAAGCAAAGGGAATCCTGCCTGACAATTATAGAAATTAAAATACTCCGGGAAGTTTGGCAATTTATTCTGAGACTGAAAAGTCTTTCAAAAACTAAGTAGCAGCATGTAATCACCATCAAATTATGTAATATCTACTGAATACACAGTAGTCTATACTCCACTATACAAGTTTTTCTGGTGTCAGTAAAAACTGTTCGGCCATAGTTATTATTCCAGGGTCATGTTATTTCTTTTTACCATTTAATAATATTAGGAGTTCTTTAAACATTTATATTTTATAAAAGTTTATAAAACTTTATAAAACTTTATAAAAATTTACTATTTGCAATAATTGCTATGGATTGTTGATTGATCCATAAATCCTATGGATTAACCCATAGGAATGGATAAACATCCTTTAAAACATGCTTTAAAAACACTAGCAAACATTCTCTACCCTGTGTTGTATGAACTTTGAAAAGTATTGCAACCAAACAAAACTAAGTGCAGTGTAAAAGTAATAGCTATAGGCCCTTTAACTTTTTAGCCTAAGGACCAGTACAACCCAAGTGTTTGCTTGTGTTGATGATTTGGATACATTTGCAGAATGTTGGGTTCTGTGTTGTCACAGAGTTGCTGCAACTGCCAAGAGGCAGGGGAAAGAATGAATGGTGCTGTTGATGTCCTTAAAATACCTGGTTCTGCAGAAAACTCCTAACAGACGCAGGCTTTCAGGACACCATTGGAAATAGGGCTTATGGAACACATGGACAAGTCACCCATTCTATGGCAGCACCTGGTCAGACGTTTCTTTTATTGAAAAAAATATATATATATTATCGAAAGAAAAGTATATTTTAGGAAATTGCGCTCTGTTTTTACTGTAACACAGTTCAAAAGCAAGCAATGCTATAGTCCTTCATGTGGTCTGTCAAAGTACTAAGAATACACCGCTACCAGTAACAACATATTTTGTTAGACTTTGCTCTCATCACCTAAGCAGATGCAATCTAAATTATAGAGAGACTTGGGGGGAAGGAGGATCATGAAATAAAACCTAATGCTTATGCTTAGCTACAACATTCCAATTATTTACAATTCCCAGTGAAAATGCTACATTAGTAATTTTCAAGTAAATTTCTTCTTGTCACTCTTCTTTAGGGACAATGTTTTCACTTGAGCTAGCTCCTGTCCTAGCAGGTTTCACAGGATTGAAAGACCTCCAGCTGTTGTAGGCCAATGCCAGGGCTGGCTGCATCCTTTAACCTTCCCTGGGATTTCATCTCATTATAAGAATATGAAGCGATCTTCAATATTAAAGAACCAACATCAAACAGCAATTCTATAGGCTCTTTTATACAGCAAAGTTTCATAGGATTTGCATTTAAGTCATTTGTCAGTTCTTTATTGACATCTGGAAAATCCACCCTGATTTATAAACAAAGTCAATGACACTGGCCAGGTCTTCAAGGTTTCAAGTACCTGTGCAAGGACAATGCACTTGTTATTAACCCAAAAGTGCATTACGGTGCACACCAGTGCCTCTTGTCTGGAGAAAAGAAGCCATTGAACCAATAATAAAATCATATTTCACGTAGAGACACTTTTTTTTTTTTTGAGACAGAGTCTCACTCTATCTCCTAGGCTGGAGTGCAGTGGCGCGATCTTGGCTCACTGCAACTTCCGCCTCCCGGGTTCAAGTGATTCTCATGCCTCCGCCTCCCGAGTAGCTGGGATTACAGGCGCCTGCCACTACGCCGGGCTAATTTTTGTATTTTTAGTAGCGACAGGGTTTCGCCATGTTGGCCAGGCTGGTCTCAAACTCGTAACCTCAGGTGATCCGCCCACCTCGGCCTCCCAAAGTGCTGGGATTACAGGTATGAGCCACCGCGCCTGGCCCATAGAGAGACATTTGAATGAAAACAGTCTTTGGAAAAGGTAAGAGACATGAAGTCATATTTTGAATAGGCAAACAGCAACCTCAATACAGCACTTGTAAAGTTGACGTCCCCGAGTGCATTCGGGGACTTTGATGAAGGCCACCGGGTGAAGACGGTCATGGGTTCCATATAATCTGCAGAAGGCCTCGGTTTGCAAAGTCCTACCCAGATGAATCACCTCTGGTATTGAAAGGCCAGACTGCCCCCTGAGGTTTCTAGGAGATCCAGGTATTTTACAAATGTTTCCTCTACAAGCAAGTCTGGTCTGAACTTTTTTAAAAAGCACCCAAAGGCAAGTCAAGGTTAAGCGTGTCACCAGCCCCAAAGCAAGTAACCAAGGACTAGCTGGACTTCCGAGCCCTGAAGGCCTGGGCATGAGTTGCTGCTGGCGCCCTAAGGCTGACTCCCACCTCTTTCCATCTGGTACTATGTCCTGTGGAGCCCGCCTGGGCTGGCACGGAGGTAGTCTTCCCCCACCTCCCTCTGGCCCCACTTACTGTTGCTGGACTTGAGGTCCCGGTGCAGGATGGGCACGAAGGCCTCCTCATGCAGGTAGAGCATGCCCCGCGCTATCTGCACGGCCCAGTTGACCAGCACGTGCGGAGGGATGCGGCGCGCGCGGCGGGGGCCGGGCGCGCGCGGGTCCGGGGCGGCGTTGGCAGCGGCCAGCGCTCGGTTGAGCGCTCCGCCGCGGGCGAACTCCAGCACCAGGCAGAGGTGCGGCTGCTGCAGGCACACGCCGCGCAGCTCGATGATGTTGGGGTGCCGCAGCATGGCGAAGAGCCGAGCCTCGCGCCGCACGCTCTCGGCAGCCGCCGCCGCGTCCTGCTCCGGGTCCTGGCGCGCCGCCTTCACGGCCACCTCCTGGCCCTGCCAGGTGGCGCGGTACACCTGCCCGAAGCCCCCAGCGCCGATGAGCTCCTTCAGCTCCAGCCGCTCGAAGGCGACGTGTACCGGGGAGCTGGGCCGCGAGGGCGGCGGCGCGGGGCTGGCGGCCGGGCGGCAGGGAGCCACGTAGTTGGCGGGGAAGATGCCGAGGCGCCGCTGCACCTGGCCTGCCCACCAGCCCTCGTCGCCCGACACGGCGGCGTCCTGCGACAGCACCTCCACCAGCTGGCCGCGCCGCAGGCTCAGCTCGTCCTCGCCGCGAGCCTCGTAGTCATAGAGCGCGGCCCACAGCCCCGCGCCCGCCGAGGCCGAGCCGCCCGAGGAGGTGGACGACGAGGACGCTGAGCCGCCGGGGGCTCCCCCGGCCGAGGACACCGGGGTGTCGGTCGCTCCCGCGGCGCCCCGCAAAGCCATGGGGGCAGCTGCGCGGGGAAGGCGGAGCGGGAAGCTGGGCTCAGCCTCCCGGGCGGCCGCGGGCGCGCATCGTCCGGCGGTGTGGCCGTCGGCGCCGGGGGAAGGCGAGGGGGTAGGAATCGCGATCGGTGACGGCAGAGATCACGGGCTAGCTGCCCAAAGGGTCCAGCCTCGGCCCGCGTTCCTGGCCAGCCGCCTCTGCTGCCGCAGCGGTCCCCGAAGCCGCGGGCGACGTCCCACCATGGTCGTGCCCAGGCCCTGCGGCCGGCCCGCCCGCCGCGCGCTCCTTAGCCAGAGCCTGGGACGCCCCACCCCACCCTAGCCGCGCCAGGGCCGCCCCGCCCCCTCCGGCTCCATTCCGCACCGCCCCCCCACCCCCCCGGGCCCGCCCCTAGGCCAGTCCCCAGGGCCTTCCCGCCCCTCCCCCAGCCGCCCCGCCCTCTCCAGGTTCATTCCGCCCTCCTTGACCCGTCCCGGGCGCCCAGTCTGCGCCCGCCCTATGGGACCGCCTTCCTAGGTTCGCCCCACCCTTCCCCACCAACTGCACCATCCCGCCCCGCCCTCGCCAGGTTCACTTCCCTTTTCTGTGCCAGTCCCCAGAGCCTCGTCCCGCCCCTGGCGCCCGGGCCCGTCCCCCACCACCTTGGGCCGGGCCCGCCCCCTGGGCCCGCCTGGCTGGTCCCACCCCGCCCCCGCCGCAGGTGCTCCGGAGCAATGGTGAGCCGCGCCCACATGGTCTGGGAGGCGGGATCGGCCGTCATCCGCTATAAATTTTCGGGAGAGTTTAAATTAAGCCAAAGGTAAGACTGAGGGAGGGGACGCTTCTCCAAGAAGCGGTGGGAGAGGGTTGAGAAGATGTGGGGCTTTAGGGTGTGGCGGGGAGAGAGAGAGTTGCAGTTCAGGGAGAGTGACAGAATCTCAGAACGGGCTACAGAAGAAATTGTAGCGCGGTGCCAGACCTGGGCCAGTGCGAGTGGCAAGTCACCATGCTAAGTGCGTTTGAGCCACCGTGCATCTCAGAACTGACTAGGTTACAGATCGCAGCGCAGAGTGACCCGTGGTCGGTATAGTCCCAGAAGCTCCATGATGGTAAATCCTTTGCTTATTTTTACTGTCTACTCAGATGGAAAATGCCCCAGTCTCCCTGGAAACCCACAGGTTTGGGTTTAGGAAGCATTGGCAATGGCTGGGTGCCAGACGTTGGTAGGTTACTGTGGCAGGTGATGAGGCTAAAAAGATAGAAGAGCTTAGTTATTAAAATTCTAAAATATTAGATTATCCTGTAGTAGGCCAGAATTTCCTAACGTGTGGATCCTGTACTTCCAATAACAGAAGGGACAATTTTAGATATTATGAGGATAGGACATACAGTAACATTCTGAGTTACATAAAGATAAATTTATTGTCTTTTCAGTTTTCTTTGTCTCTCAGATCAAACTATTTATTGGCTGTGTGACCTTGAGCAAGTTTCTTTATTTCTCTATGACTCAGTTTTCTCATCTATAAAATGGGAATATAATAAATAGTACCTACTTTATAGGGTTTTTAGGAAGACTAAATGAGTTAATAGTTTTACAGTGGGTCTTCTGCATCCACAGAATCAACCAACAGCTGGTCAAAAATGTTTTTTAAAAACCCAAAAAATAACAATACAAATAATACAAATAAAATACAGCATAACAACTATTTACAGAGCATTTACATTATATTAGGTATTATAAGTAATCTAACTATTTAAAGTATGGGCATACTTTGGAGATACTGCAAGCATGGTTCCAGATCACTGCAATAAAGCAAGTGACATGAATTTTTTGATTTCCCAGTGCATATATATACAAGTTATGTTTCCAGTATACTGTAGCGTATAAAGTGTGCAATAGCATTGTGTCTAAAGAATGTTTATACCTTAATTTTAAGTACTTTATAGGTAAAATGTGCTAATGATCATCTGAACCTTCAGCAAGTCATAATCTTTTAGCTGGCAGAGGTCTTGCCTCTATGTTGATAGCTGCTGACTGATCAAGGCAGTGGTTGCTAAAAGTTGGAGTGGCTATGGCAAATTCTTAAGGCAACTATGAAGTTTGTCACATGGATTGACTTTACCTTTCACGAAAGACTTCTCTGTAGCATGGGAAGCTGTTTGATACCATTTTAACAACAATAGAACTACTTTCAAAATTGGAGTGATCCTTCTCCCACCCTGCTGCTATTTTACCAACCGAGTTTGTGATATTCAAAATCCTTTTTGTCGTTTCAAAATGTTCATAGCATCTCCTCTGGGAGTAGATTCCATCTCAAGAAACTACTTTTTTTGCCTCTCCATAAGAAGCAACTCCGCTCCTCATCTGTTCAAGTTTGATCATGAGATTGTAGCAATTCAGTCACATTCTCAGTCTCCACTTCTCGGCTCATGCAAGCTCCGCCTCCTGGGTTCGCGGCATTCTCCTGCCTCAGCCTCCCGAGTAGCTGGGACTACAGGTGCCCACCACCACGCCCAGCTAATTTTTTTTGGTTTTTTTTTTTTTTGTATTTTTAGTAGAGACAGGGTTTCACTGTGTTAGCCAGGATGGTCTCGATCTCCTGACCTCGTGATCCGCCCCCCTCGGCCTCCCAAAGTGCTGGGATTACAGGTGTGAGCTATCGTGCCTGGCCTCAGTCTCCACGTCTAATTCCAGTTCGCTTGCTATTTTCACCACATCTGCAGTTCCTTTCTCCTCTGAAGTCGTGAACTTCTCAGTCATTCACGAGGGTTAGAATCAACTTCTTCCAAACTCCTGTTAATGTTGATATTTTGATCTCCTCCCATGAATTATGAGTGTTTTTAATGGCATCTAGAATGGTGAATCCTATTTACCTTGCCCATATCTCATAGCAGAGCAATTGCTATCTTTGGCACCTATGGCCTTACAAAATGTATTTCTTAAATAATAAGACTTAAAAGTCAAAGTGACTTTGTAATCCATGGGTTACTGAACGGGTGTTGTGTTAGCAGGCATGGAAACAACATTTATCTCCTCGTGCATCTCTAGCAGAGCTCTTGGGTGACCAGATACATTGTCAATGAGTAGTAATATTTTGAAAAGAATCATTTTTTTCTGAGCAATAGCTCTTAACAGTGGGCTTAAAATATTCAATAAACTGGCCAGGTGTGGTGGCTCACACCTGTAATCCCAGCACTTTGGGAGGCCGAGGTGGGCAGATCACCTGAGGTCAGGAGTTTGAGACCAGCCTGGCCAACAATCTCTATTAAAAATACAAAAATTGGCCAGGTGTGGTGATGCACACCTGTAATCCCAGCTACTCTGTAGGCTGAGTCAGGAGAATCACTTGAACCCGGGAGGTGGAGGTTGCAGTGAGCCGAGATCATGCCAGTGCACTCCAGCATGGACAACAGAGCAAGACTCCGTCTCAAAAAAAAAAAAAAAAAAAATTTCAGTAAACCATCCTGTAAACAGATGTGCTGTCATCCAGGCTTTGTTGTGCCATTGATATGGCACAAGCAGAGTAGATTTAGCATAATTCTTAAGGGCCCTAGGATTTTCAGAATAGTAAATGAGCATTGGTTTAAACTTAGTTACTGGCTGCATTAGTCCTTAACAAGAGAGTCAGCCTGTCCTTTAAAGCCGGGTCTGGACTTCTCTCTAGTTATGAAAGTCCTAGATGGCATCTTCTTCCAATAGAAGACTGTTTTGTCTACATTGAAAATCTATTGTTTAGTGTATCCACCTTCATCAATTATCTTAGCTAGATGTTCTGGATAACTAGTTGCAGCTTCTACATTAGCACTTGCTGCTTCACCGTGCACTTTTACGTTGAGATGACTTCTTTCCTTAAACCTCATAAGCCAACCTCTACTAGCTTTCTAACTTTCTCACCTCTCTCAGCCTTTCTAGAATTGAAGAGAGTTAAGGCCTTGCTTTGGATTAGGCTTTGGCTTAAGGGAATGTTGTAGCTGGCTTGATCTTTTATCCAGACTGCTAAAATTTTCTTCATATCAGCAATAAGCTTGTTTGTCTTTCTTATCATTCATGTGTTTATTGGAGTAGCACTTTTAATTTCCTTCAAGAACTTTTGCATTCATGACTTGGGCAACTGGTGCAAGAGGCTTAGCTTTCAGCCTATCTTGGCTTTTCACGTGCCTTCCTCACTAAGCTTAATCATTTCTAGCTTTTGCTTTAAAGTGAGATAGGTATGACTTTTCCTTTCACTTGAACACCTAGAGGTCATTGTAGAGTTATTAATTGGACTAATTTCAATATTGTCCTGTCTCAGAATAGGGAGGCCTGAGGAGAAGGGAAAGGGACAGGGAATAGCCAGTCAGTGGAGCCAGCCATTTATCACATTTATTAAGTCCACTGTCTGATATAGGTGTGGTTTGTGGTGCTCCAAAACAATGACAATTAGTAACATCAAAGATCACTGATCACAGATCACCATAATACATATCATAGTAATGAAATAGTTTGAAATATTGTGATAATTGCCAAATGTGATACAGAGACACAAAGTGAGCAAATGCTGTTGGAAAAGATGGCACCAAGAGACTTGCTCTTGGAGTGTTGCCACACACCTTCAATTTGTAAAAAATGCAGTATCTGCAAACCACGATAATTTGAAGCATGCCTGTATACAGGAGGATGTGCATAGGTTATATGAAAATACTATACCAGTTTACATATGGGACTTGAGCATCTGATGATTTTAGAATTTGGGGGACTTTAGTATGATAGTACACAAAAAAACATTAACACTTTCCCCAGTGGGGTATGAGGCAGCACCCTATAATCAAACACATTAATATTTCTGTCCTAAAATGTAAGACTATTCTCAGCAAGTGGGATAAATCAACACCACAAACAGCCTTATGTCATTTCAAGTCAAGTTTTGATGCCAAATGAGTTCTGGTGCCACCTTCCAAAAACAGGTTTTTATTTTCAGAGCTTCTTGGGTTTTAGAATTGTGGATGTTTATGGGAAGTGTTCAAGATACTTCTTCCCAGGCTTTGAGCTTGGGCAACTAGGTGGATATTAATGATATGAAATGACCTGGAATATTGTTTTAGAGAAAAGGTAATTTATTGGTGTGTTGCTCTGAGGCAACTGATTATAAAGATGGAACGGGAGAGAACCAGGAACTCAGAAAGACGAAGAAGGGTAGAGGAAATCGTATTTTGGAAGAAGTGTCCTAAGCAGCATGTCAGGTACTGAAGCAAACTTCGCTCTTGGGTCATGCAGAGATCAAGGGTGGGGAAGTGCTGGGGCAGGGTGGGGGTGCCTTTGACTTAGAACGTCCATCTGAAACTATATCCGTTTCATTCATGCTGGCTGACTCTGTGCTCTGCCCTTCTGCTGCCTGCCAAAACAAATCTCATCACGTTCCAGAGGAATCCAGTCTGCAGAATCTTCTAGGTTAGGTAGACTTTACCCCTCTCTTGAGTCGAACGCCTGGTACTAAGAGGAGTGCCAAGTGTCTGTAACCCTCCACACCACAACTCAGATTCCTCCTCCTTGATCACCGACCAGTGTGATTCTCTGGGACCTGTTCCCCATCTGGTACCTCTGAGCAGGAAACTGTCCCAGATGAGAGTCTGTCTTGTGCTTGATTATCCTAAAATGTATCATTTGTTGCTTCGGTGCTATTTTTAACCCCCCAAATCTGGCATTTGGAGAAAAGCATTGGTGTCGTGCCCTACTCATAGGCATGTACTGTAACCACATCTGCTCTTTCGAGTCCAGCACAATCCACCAAGGACATATATCGCAACACAAGAACAGAGAGCTAAGACAGAAATCGGGTGGCAAATGTATATTTAAACAGATGGTGGCAAGAATGAGAAAAGGAAAGAGTTTAAAAGAATTAGACAAAGAGGACAAAAAGTTAGTGTCCAGGAAAGAAGGAATGGCTGTATGGGGTTGCTCTTTTATATATGTATTTGGATTCTCCAATGCTGGTCTTGAAAGAAGAATCAACCCTTAAGAACCACCTTCTGTTTGGGAATCTTTAACTAATTACTGCTTCGCTTATTATCTTAGCTCAGCAGTTCTTAGTGTGATCCGAGGCCCCTGAGAGACCCCTGAGATCTTTTCAGGGGGTCTACAAGGTCAAAACTGTTTTCCTAATTCTAGGAAAATGTTATTTGCTTTTATTCACTCTGTTGACATTTGCACTGATGATGCAAAAAGCAAGGATGAGTTGCACAAACCAAGGTAGTGGCTTCAAACTGTAGTATTCTTCAGTGTCATGCACATGCAGTACAAGAAAAATGCCAGGTTCACTTTAAAATGTCCCTGACAAAGCAGTAAAAAATACCGATTTTATTTACTCTCAAATCCTCAGTACAGGTGATTAATATTCTATATGACAAAATGAGAAATGCATATAAAGCATTTCTGCACACCCAAGTATGATGACATTTTAAAGAAAAAGCACTTGACTGGGCGTGGTGGCTCATGCCTATAATCCCAGCACTTTGGGAGGCCAAGGTGGGCGGATCACTTGAGGTCAGAAGTTCCAGACCAGCCTGGCCAAAATGGTGAAACCCCATCTCTACTAAAAATACAAAAATTAGGCAGGCATGGTGGCTCCCGCCTGTAATCCCAGCTACTTGGGAGGCTGAGGCAGCAGAATCACTTGAGCCTGGGAGGCAGAGGTTGCAGTGGGCCGAGATCATGTCACTGAACTCCAGCCTGGGTGACAGAGCAAGACGCTGTCTCAAAAAAATAAAAAGAAATAAAAAGCGCTTGGGTAATTCTTTGAGTTGTACATTGATCTCACCTGCTTTTTTAATGGAACACCATTTTTACTTGAAAGAATGATTGATAGACAAATTATAATTATTCAGACTTGGATATTAAGAAGACATTTCACCTATAGTTCCAGCTACTCGGGAGGCTGAGGCAGGAGAATGGCGTGAACCCCGGAGGCGGAGCTTGCAGTGAGCAGAGATCGCACCACTGCATCCAGCCTGGCGACAGAGCGAGACTCCATCTCAAAAAAAAAAAAAAAAAAAAAAAAAGAAGACATTTTCTTGAAAATGAACAAAGTGAATCTCTTATTCCGTGGAAAACCACTGGCAGTATTTGTTACCAGTGTTAAAATTTGAGCTTCCAAGCAACAACCAGGATTTTAGAAAGCTTTTAGCTGCTAATATGAGCTCAACAACTTTTCAAATACTTACAAGACTTTCCTGATAAGATTGGTAGTGATATCAATTAATGAGATTTTTGATATTGGGTAATGAGATGTGGCAACATTTGGAAAATCTAAATAGCTCAGAGAACCAATATGTTCCAAACGACCAATGTCATTTTGGTATCTCCAAAGTATGCAAAAAGATCCATTCAAAGTGTATTAAAGAAAAGTTCATTAACAATGGTTTCACATTCCACACTGCAACTAATCTTTAAGCGACTACTACTTTTTTATGGTATCAAAGAATATCCATGGTTACCTGAAAAGGCTGTTAAAGATACATCTGCCTTAGAAAAGATTAGTGGTTATCAAGAGTTAGAGAGGTGAGGAAGGAGAAAGGGAGGAAAGGAACAAGTATAAAAACAGTAGCATGAGAGACCTGTGGGATGGAACTGTACTGTGTCTTGACTGTGATGATGGTTACATAAATCTGCATATGTGATAAAATCACATAGAACTAAATATACACACACACACACACACACACGAATGTATGTAGGACTGGTGAAATCTGAATAAAGTCATTGGATTTTATCAATGTTGACTTCTTAGTTGTGATATTGTATGGTAATTATGCATGATTATTGCATAATTATTGCATAATAATTATGCATAATTCCATTGGAGAAAATCAGGTGAAAGGTTTTAGGATTCCTCTGTATTATTTCTTACAATTGCATGTAAATCTACAACTCCATCCAAACAAAAAGTTAAAAAAATGCTTTGCCTTTTGCAAATACATATCTTTATGAGGCTAGAATTTCTCCATATACTTCAGCCAGGACAATATATTGCAACACGTTGAATGCAGAAACATATAAGACAATGCAGCTGTCTTCTATTAACCCAGGCATAAAAGAAATTTATAAACATATGAAACAATACCAGTCAACTTACCTATATGTTTTAGTTTGGGGAAAATGAATTATTTCTAAAAATGTATTTAATGTTACCATGTAATGGAATTATTAATGTTATCTTTAAAATAAAGCTATAAATAAATATTTTAGATGTCTCTGTTTTAATTTCCAATACAGAAGTGATTGATAGTTATGAAGCACATACACAAAAACTCTTTGAGGTTTTTAATAATTTTTAAGCACATTAAGAGATCCTGAGATCAAAAAAATTTGAGAATTGTCCACAAAGGGAAATAAACTCTGCCGATAAAGCACTTGTTCAAGTGAGGGCATAAGACCCTTTGTTCAAAACCTTGTGATAACACGGGCAGTACAGACAAAGCTGGGTCATTTAAGAAAGATGTTACTAAAGGCAAATGAGACTACGAAATGGAATTCAGCCCTCACATTAACCCAGAACACCTGGCTTTCTCTCTTGGGCTTCCACTTAGACCTGACGACCATAAGCTCAGAGCGTGATTATGCTTTTCCTCTCTCTTGCACCTGCTTTGACTTCAGTTTCCTGTCTGAAAGGAGCCTCAGTAGCTAATACCAGAAAAGATAATCCCTTTCATAGGAGATCTAATCTACCTGCGGGAGCAGTCATGACCCTAGAGAGGAAGAAGAGGAAAAAGTTGCCACGGGAATTGGTGGTGAAGAAACCTCTGACGTTTACAAATTCAGCTTCAGTAGTTCAAAACCATGGGGGGGTGTGGTTTACAGTGAAAAAATGAGGGATGAGGAAGTGGAGATGGTGGGCATTAATCCAGAGTTGTCCTTGCCATCGAGGGTCTTACAGAGTCAAGATAAACCAGTATAAGGAGATAGCAACCCGAGAGAGGGACAGGCTTTGTGGAGTGGATGGAGTTGTGGAGCAGCTGAAAGATGGTGGGTATCAGTGAGGAGGGTTGTGTGAGGTGGACAAATGTCCTGGATTCCTGGTCACAGGACATTCAGTGCTGAAGTCTTGGGGTGGCTGGTCACCCTCAGTATGAGAGAGTCTTGCAGATGAAACGTAAGTGGGGACTTCTGGGTGGGTAGGATTAGGTAAGTGAAAAGGGATGGGAATGGCTGGGCGCAGTGGCTCACGCTTGTAATCCCAGCACTTTGGGAGGCTGAGGTGGACAGATCATCACTTCAGGTCGGGAGTTTGAGACCAGCCTGGTCAACATGGTGAAACCCCATCTCTACTAAAAATACAAAACTTAGCCAGGCATGATGGCAGACACCTGTAATCTCAGATGCTCAGGAGGATGAAGCAGGAGAATCACTTGAACCTGGGCGGGGGCGGAGGTTGCAGTGAGCTGAGATTGCATTACCGCACTCCAGCCTGAACAAGAGTGAGACTCTGTCTCAAAAAAAAAAAAAAAAAAAAGAAAAAGAAAAAGAAAAAGATGGTGGGGGAGTGATGCAATCATGAGGAGATGGAGGAAGAAACTATTCATAGAGACACAGAACAATGATTATGGGTTCACCAGCCATTGAGGTCACTCAACTAGAGAAAAGGATATTTTCTTGGAAGGAGCTGAGAAAGGAAATATGAATAGAAAGACCTTAAAAATGGTCTGAGATATCTGGATATGAGGAGAGATGAAAAACTGCAGCGGTTAAAGGGAGGGGTGAGGAAAAATAGTCCCTCAAAAACTGTATGTGAATTCTTTAAAAAATGGAAAACTTTCTGGGATATAAAATGTTTCCCCCAACTTTTAGTTATTTTTCCCCAAACCTTTCCATTTCTAGAGGTAAAACACACAATTTTAGAGATTATTAGTAGCTCAATAGGATTGCCCATATCAGGCCCCGTGCCAAACTTCTTGAGACAAAAAGCATCTGGATTGGTATCCTGAAACTTTGGAAATGCCAGCTGTCATACTTACCTTGGATTACACTTGGGAGATAGGGCAAGTGTGTATGTGTGTGTGTTTTACCTGGGTGGTATAATTTGGTGTAACCCACCATCAGTTGCTGAGCAATACAAGGGAATATAACACTGCGATTAACAGCAAGCATATGCAGGAAGACATGGACTCCAATCTTGGCTTCGCCTTTGTTACTTGAAACCTCGTCTTTATTCCCCTTTGTAAAATGGTGGAATAATAGTATCTGCCCTGTGGTGTTGTTTTGAGGATTCATTGAGCTAATGCATTAAAGCATAGCATTTAACTAGTGCTAATACATATTAGCTGTTATTTTAATATTAGGTATTGTTTATGAAGGACTTATTGAAACAGAAAATTCAATAGAAGGCATATTTATCCCTTCTCCCCCCGCCCCTCATTTAGTATATTTTCCTACACCAAAGATCAATTTCACTGTGCCAAAAAAATTTAAACATTTTCCTTAGGATAGTCAGAATTAAAAGTTGGATTAGTAACTTCCAAGACTCTCAAGTATATCACATCTAAAAACATAATGCTTTCTGAGCAAACCAAATTATACATATATGAGATTAATTGTAACTTTTATCTTGTTGTCATCAGTTTTTTTTGTTTTGGTTTGGTTTGTTTGTTTGTTTGTTTGTTTTTGAGACAGAGTCTCGCACTGTTGCCCAGGCTGGAGTGCAGTGGCACGATCTCAGCTCACTGCAACCTTTGCCTCCCAGGTTCAAGCAATTCTCCTGCCTCAGCCTCCAGAGTAGCTGGGATTACAGGCACCCATCATCACGCCCAGCTAATTTTTGTATTTTTAGTAGAGACAGGATTTCACCATGTTGGCCAGGCTGGTTTTGAACTCCTGACCTCAGCTGATTCGCCTGCCTCAGCCTCCCAAAGTGCTGGGATTACAGGTTTGAGCCTTTGAACCCAGCCCTGTTGTCACCAGTATTCTGACTTACTCATCATGAACAATGCTGCAATAAATCCAAGTAATAAGAATATTCACTTGGTTTGTAACAGATTGGACAGAATATACAGAAAGATTAGTTTCATCATTTGATACCTATTTTTGTGAACGTCAAGCATTAATTCTAGTTATTTGGAATATAATGGTGAATAAAACAAAGTTGCCTGTTACCATGGAGCTTATATTTTAGCAGGATCAGATGAAAAATAGACAGGATGAATAAGTAAATTATGTAGTATGTTAGATTTGATAATTTCTTTATAAACATTAAGAGGAGTGTAAGAAAAGATGGGTAAGATGAGTCAGGAATGGGGAGGGGGTTAACCTGGTATTCAGTAGGGAGGACAGAGTAGCCTCATTGAGAAGATAAGATTTGAGCAAAGACTTGAGGGACAGGAGGGGTTTGGCAAGCAATTATCTGGAGAAAGTTTAAGTGAACAAATACTACAAGGGAGTGTTTCGACTTTCACATTATCTGAAGGCCCAGTTCATTATGTCAGTATGACAGCTGAGTAATTATAAATGAAGGAGGTGTTAGTAAAAAATAGCATGAAGTTCTTTTTGAAGGTCTTGTGAGCTTGTAAATTAGCCTTTTTCTCTTGACTCTGCTTCTCTGGTTCATTTTCATGCATTTAAAGATGTGGGGTCTTGAGCTTCAGTTTAGTGACAGGTTAAAACAAACAAACAAGTGAAAAAAAAGTGCAGTTAAACAAGTAAGAATAATGACAACAATGCTGATGGTGGTGATGATACGGTAACAGTAATAAGTTAACATTTATTGGCATCTGTTGTTAGTGTCAAAGCTTTGAATTCAGCCTGTGTTAGGTTACTCTTTATTCTCATAGCTTCAGCTACCTTTCAGCTTTAGACAGAGTAATTGTGATTTTTAGAATTTTTGTAACTTTAATCAGTGGACAGGACTGGAGCCCTGCCTGTTCATGCTTAAAGTTACAGATTATAGCAAGGGCCGCTGAAATGGACAATGAGCTACTTCATTCAATAATGCAACAATGTAAAAACCTGAGTGGTTCCAGAAAGCCCAGATCTTTTGTAAACCCTGGAAGATATCCTTTCTGAAGTAAACTATCAAGCTCATGACCTTGGACCTGAGATAGGAAGGCTGCCATTTACCCTGAGTTGCCATTTTTGCACATTTGTCTGATGAAAATTGGTTTTATTGTATTTACAATTCATTGGACTCTTTTCAAACATAATGACTAATTCTTCACAACCTGCTAGAAATATTAAACAAAGGACACAGAGGACAAAGATTTTTTTTTTAAAAAAAGGTTAGTCATCCTTCTAAGGTCACAGAGAATAAATCATAGAGAAATTGGTTTATACTTGCTTTGTTTGTTTTTTAAATGCCAAAAGTTGGTCATACTACCTGTTTTTGTGAGTTAACTTTCTTTCCCTGCGCAAATTTACTCTGTAGTGACTTATATCTTATTTGTTCTATGAAAATGATGGTTTTCTGTATATCAGGTCTATTTTTGGGAGGTGTAACTCCCTCAAAGTGGACTGCGACATTCATTAAAAGCTGAACTTACACCACTGACCATTTTAGAGACCTTGAGATTTTATTCAATTCTCCAAATTTTTCATCCACATATAAAATTAGACTAATATTAACATACCCCTTTAAGAATACTATATAATGACTACAATGAGAAGTAATGAGATGATAAAATTGAACAGCTCTTTTGAAATTCTCAGAAGAGAAAGACTAAATAAATCCAATCATTTATTTTGTTAATGCATGAAGCGTATGTTAATTTAGCACAATCTGTGTAGTTCCGGTTTCTTTCATGAAATAATCTCTGTTTTTTCTGCAGTATTTTAAAATATTTTCTGACATTTCTAAAGCACTCTTAAATTAACTTATCTGACCTTTTCTTCTCTTATATGTGAATGCGGAACATACCAGCTATGACTGCTCTGTTTGAATCCATTCCCGTTGCTGCTTTATCTAACCTCATGGTTATCACTTATTCTCTGTAAGAATTTTCAGTGCCCAAAGACATAGAATCTGCATTACGATGTGCCCTTCCTGAATGTATGGATGTTGTTGTTACCCTATAGGGTCGTCTTTGTTATCCTGAAGGCACTGGTGAATGTGAAGTACTTTGAAAACTATAATGTGCCATATAAATGTGAAGTATTATTTGTGGTTGCTACTTAATCACAGGGTCATTTGAAGTCTTCCTAATCTTTTACAATGTCACTTGATAAAGGTGAGGGTTCAATGAGTGAAAGTTTCCAGTAAGTATCCCTTTCAGGGGTATTTCCTTACCTGAAAATTATCTTGGACAAACTGGTTTTCTGTAATAACGTAAGAATATCTTTTTTTTTTTAAATAAAAGCCCCCAGCCTAATGCAAAGATTTCAAATTAAACATCTTGAAAAAATATTGACAAATTATGGTTTTGAGCCACAGCTTCCATTTATACAGAATATTGATTCTCCTTCATATTAACTTTGGTACTGAAAACTTTATTTTTCCTACTTAGATGGATTCTAACCCTACTTTTGAAAGCAAAGTTAATATTCTCTTAGCTGTTAATTATTCTCTTGATCAGTTGCCTCCATATTTTTAAATGTTTTCCACGTAGAAGTAACCTAGAAAAACTTGTATGTGTGTTCTCTTAGTTATTTTTATATACATATCTTTAAATAAAATGAAATAAAATACACATTTTGAAAAGGTCATATACACAAAAGGATAATTTGAAAAGTTAAAATTCTCCCCCACACTGTTTACTCCCCAGCCATCCATTTTCTTGCTTAAGAATTTAATTTGTATCTTTCCAGAAATAGATGTACACAATACATCCAGAGATAGATGTATGCATCTCTCTCTCTCTCTAAATATATATGTATCATATAAATTTAAAGGCAGGACATTAAAAGTTGCCTCATTGTCTTTAACTTTTCTGTAGTACTCACTGTCTGCTGCATAATCGTTTCTTTAATGACTGCCTTTGATGGAAATTTAGGCTACTTTCAATTTTCTGTTATCACATACAGCCCTGCAGCAAATATCTTCATAATTTGCCATTTGCACAAGTGCCTGCATACAAGTAGGTTAAATTCCTGCGAATGGGATTCCCGAGTCAAAGGGCACATGCATTTGTAATTTTGACAGATGTGGCTAAATGGGCCTCCACAGGAGCTAGGAAACTTTACACTCCCACCAGCACCTTTCTCAACACAGCAACAACTTGTCTTTTCCCAGTCTGATAGTGGCAGCTGGTCTCCCATAGTTGTAAAGTGCGTTGCTTATTGTGAGTGAGATTGCACATTTTTTCCTATGTTTGGGTCATTTAATTACCCTTACTGTGAACTACCTGTTATTTCTTTGTCCATTTTTGGTTGGTCTTTTCTTACTGATGTTTAGGAGGTCTGTGTATACTAACTTATATGTCTTGGTCATGAGGTTCACATATTTTTCCTGATTTGTCTAGATTTTTTCTTTTTCTTTCTTTCCTCTTTCTTTCTTCATTCCCTCCCCACTTTCTCTTTTTCTGTCTTGCTTGCTTGTTTTCTTGCTTTTACTTCTACATAGTTGAATCTGTTGTTGAATCTGTTCCTTTATTGTTTCTAAGTTGTAGTACAAATAGTCTTTCCCATTTACTGAAAATTATTTTCCATAGGTTTTCTTCTATTCCATACCACTTCCTGGTTCTCTGTTCCATCTCACTGACAAGTCTGTCTACCTATCCCCCCATGCCACAATATTATAGTGTCTGCTGGGACTAATCTTGGCTAATATTTTTTTCTAGAATTTTCCTGGCAATTCTTCTTTGCTTATTTATTCATACTGAATACAAACTACACTCATGCATGTGAGCAGTTCACAGATCAAGGAGCGGAGCATTGCCAGAAGCCCAGAAACTCCCTGTGCTTCCTTCTAATTGCTGGCCTGTCATAGCAAATTAAGTTTGCCTGTTTTCTAATTTCATATAAACAGAATCATATACTCCTTTGAGCTTATTGAGATCAACATTTTATTTCTAAGATCCATCCGTGTTGTGATGTGTAATTTTAGTTTCTTCCTTTAGGTTTTCAAAATTGAGATAATGTTAGAGTTATAAGTCAGTTTAGCAAGAGTTAGTATGACACTGAATCTTCTGGGTACACAGTGTCTATGCCTTTCCATTTGCTTAGTCTTTTTTTTTTCTTTCGGTTACATTTTAAGGTTTTCTTCATATGAATTTTTTTTCTAATCCATTGACTGATGGCCCAGAACAATATAAATAATAGTCTTACTAATGGACATCCAAAATTTCCCTATTTTACTAGACATCCTTTACATATTGACCATCCTTGTACTCTGGGGATGAACTCTCTTTGGAGTTTTATGTGTTGCTACATTTGTTTCTAATACCTAATTTGGATTTTTACATCATCATTCATAATTGTGATTGAGTGTAGTTATGGATTTTTATTGAATTTTTGGAATGTTTTATGCTACCTTCATACAGAGAATTTGGAAGGGTTTTTCGTCTTGTTTAGTGTTCTGAAATAGCTTAAGTTACATTGGAATTACCTATTTCATATTTCATAAAAGTTGATGTAAAAATCTGCTGTGAAATAACTTGGGCCTGGTGCTTCTTGAAATTATAGTTTTGTAATAATATTCTCTATTTCTTCTACAGATCATTTTTCTCTTATTTCAATAAATAAAGACTTTTAGTATCTTCTGGGGTATGATTTGACAATGTATATTTTTCTAGATAATTATCCAATTATATCTAGATTCTACATTTATTTGAATACTCAAAAGCAAAGTATTCTCTTACGATGTTTATATTTCTTCTTGTTCTGTTTGTTTTGTCCTTTTCATTTCCTTTGTGCCTATTTGTCCTTTGCCCTTTGTTTCTGCTTAAGTTGGCTATTAATTTATCTATTTTATTGTTTCCTATGCCCACCCCCACCAGCTTTGTAATTATTATTATTATTGTTATTTTGAGACAGAGTTTTGCTCTGTAGCCCAGGCTGGAGTGCAGTGGTGAGGTCTTGGCTCACTGCAACCTCCGCCTCCCGGGTTCAAGCAAATCTCCCTGCCTCAGCCTCTCAAGTAGCTGGGACTATAGGCGCCTGCCACCACACCTGGCTAATTTTTGTACATTTAGTAGAGACTGGGTTTCACCATCTTGCCTAGGCTGGTCTCGAACTCCTGACCTCAGGCCTCAGGTGATCTGCCCGCCTCAGCCTCCCAAAATGCTGGGATTACAGGTGTGAGCCACTACACCCGGCTGTAATTATTTTTAAGTTCTATTTGTTTTTGTATTTTCTACTGCAATTATAGTTATCAATACATTCCATCTGTCTTCCCTGGGTTTTTTGTTATTATTTTTCTTAATTCTTGATTTCAATGTCTAATATGTTTATTTTTATTGTTTCTTGTATTAATTAGGATAGGCTAAGCTGCAGTAACAAATGGATCCCCCAAATTTTGGTGACTTAATGCAGTAAAAATTCATTTATTTCTATTGTAATTTATTTCCATGAAAGAAGCGGATATTTGTGTGTATTACTCAGTTTTTCCATACTGAAGTTATTCAAAGCTTTGGTGTTCTGCTTTGAAACTTTAATTCTTTCTTCTTATTATAATTTGCAAAATGGAGCCAAGAACTGGCAACACATATAAACAAACATTTCTCCCCGCTCTGGAGCCATGGGCTTGGTAGTTGTTGGTAGGTCCTCCAAATTCCCGAAGGTGAGTTTTGCAAAGTCTTTGATCACCTCATAACTTGGGTCTCCATCTTTCCAGGCAGGCTGCCATGACTCCTTGTTCCTTAGTTGTTCAACAACTGCTCAGGCAATGTTGGCTCTTTTAGGTTTTATTATATTAGTACACTATTTCCAGGTAATAGCTTCTGGGTTAGTTATGGTAGGTAATACTATGGTAACAAAGAAATCCCTACAATTTAGTTGCTTAACACAATAAAAAAATGTTATCTTGCTTATTAGAACACTTGGGCAGGAACTCAGTTCAGCCATGTGGATGTTCTCCTCATAGTCAGAGACCCAGGCTGAGCATAACTTGCGGCTTCCTGCTATGGTTTGGATATGTGTTTTGGCTTCACCAAGTCTCATTTTGAAAGTGGATCCCAATGTCAGAGGTATTTGGGTCATAAGGGCAGATCCCTGGTGAACAGCCTGGTACACTCCTTGTGGTAATGAGAGAGCTGATTGTTAGAAAGAGCTGAGGATCTCCCTCCTCTCTCTTTTGCCTTCTCTCCTGCCATGTGACCTGCACACACCAGCTCCCCTTTGCCTTCCACTATGAGTGGAAGCAGCCTGAGGCCCTCACCAGAAGCAAATACTGACACCATGCTTCTTGTTCAGCCTGCAGAATCGTGAGCCAAATAAACCTCTTTTCTTTATAAATGACCCAGCCTCAGGTATTCCTTTACAGCAATACACAGGGACAGAGACACCTCACAGCAACTTTACTGTCATGAGCACCCAGCCAGCAGAAGGACCTGGAAGAACATCCAGGAAGCTGAATGTGCTGGGCCTGACAGGATACACACATCTCTCCTACTACTGTTCCAGAACTCAGTTGCATAGCCGCAACTCCCCAAAAGATGTTCTGGGAAATGTGGTCCGCATTATTCTTCAAGAAGGGGACAGTGGTTTCTGGTAGACAACCAGGGGTCTCCTCTACATATTTTTGATAGCATAATTATTTGGGTCTGTATATTTTCCTTTGAGCACTAGTATTTTTTCCCTTTTTGGATCCTATTGGTACTGATATACTATCAGTTTTCCATAAGATACATCAGATATTTCATTATTTTGATCTTTACTTATTTTTTGAACCAACAGGTTTTGAGCAAAAATTTTTTAAAATTCTAGATGATAGATATTGGTTTATTTCCTAGTTGGCTATTAGCCTCTAATTTTATTAAACTATGATCAGAAAATACTATTTATATTGGTTTTCCTCTTGTGAGTTCATTGAGATTTTCTTTCATGAATATAGACTCAGATTCTGTGAGTGCTCTGAGAATGTTTGAAATGATGGTACATTGTATATAAGTGGAGTTCATAGTTGACATACACATATCAATTATGTTATTTAGGAATTATTAATAACTTTATTATTTATTTGATGTGTAATGGGCAGAAAAAGGAGAATTGAATCCTTCTTTTGGTTGTTTCTTATTTATTCCAAAAATTTTTATTATTTTTATTTCTTTTTTAATTTTGAGATGGAGTCTCACTCTGTCGCCTAGGCTGGAGTACAGTGGTGCAAAATCAGCTCACTGCAACAACCGCCTCCCAGACCCAAGCAATTCTCACACCTCAGCCGCCTGAGTAGCTGGGACTACAGGCGCCCACCACCATGCCTGTCTAATTTCTGTATTTTTAGTAGAAACGGGGTTTCATCATGTTGGCCAGGCTGGTCTTGAATTCCTGACCTCAGGGGATCCGCCCTCCTCAGCCTCCCAAAGTGCCAGGATTACAGGCATGAGCCACTGTGCCTGGCTAAATTAAGTTTTGTATATATTTTTTAATTTTATTATTATTATTATTATTATTTTTTTGAGGGAGTCTCACTCTGTTGCCCAGGCTGGAGTATAGTGGCATGATCTTGGCTCACTGCATCCTCCACCTCCTGGGTTGAAGGGATTCTCCTGCCTCAGCCTCCAGAGTAGCTGAGATTACAGGAGGCCGCCACCACGCCCAGCTGATTTTTGTATTTTAGTAGAAGTGGGGTTTCATCATGTTGATCAGGCTGGTCTTGAACTCCTGACCTCAAATGATCCACCTACCTTGGCCTCCCAAAGCCATGGGATTATAGGCATGAGCCACCGCGCCCGGCCATATTCCAAATATTTTAACTGATAAATGTTGGTGCTCTTTTCTTTTGATCATGGACATTCATAACTTCAAATTTTGTATTGTGAATTTCTTTCCTTATGAAGATTATCTCATTTAATAATTTTATTTCATTAATTTTATTTAATAACAAGATTTTGAGCTTCCCTTATCACACACCCACCCAACATTTTTTCCTGTTTGTCTGAGGAACTTTTGCCTCTTTTTATTACTTTCAATTTTTCTGAGACACTCTTTCATAGGTGTATCTCCTATAAATAACCAATGCTTGGATTTTCTCTAAGACTCATTTGTATTCTTTTTGTCCTTTAATAAGTAAGTTAAAGCCATTTACACTTATAGATATTACCAACATATTTTGTGTCATTTTATATCACATTTTGTGCTTCATTTGTTTCTTTTACTTTAAAAAATATCTTTCACTATGTAGTTTGTGTTTTTTTATTATTTTGTTTTATGCAGCTTCTGAAAATTTGGAAGGATTATAGTTTTTGGCTTTAGAGTTATCTTTTTAAATTTAACATGTTAATTTAATCTTTTTAGATGTTCTCTATTGATTTCTTACTATAAACAGGATTAAAAATAGTTTAGTTTCACTTCTTTTTCTTCTCTACCACCCAGCTTTATCTGATAAGTTTATGTTTCTTAAGATTTACTCTTATACCACTAAATATCTTTATACATCTATTATTTGGTGTGTCAGAATTAAATATTTTGGGGCTTCTTACCTTTTCTCTTCTCCTATTTCTTTTTCTTTTTCTTTTTCTTTCTTTTTTTTGTTTTTTTAAACAGAGTCTTGCTCTGTCGCCCAGGCTGGAGTGCAGTGGCACGATCTCGGCTCACTGCAACCTCCGCCTCCTGGATTCAAGCAATTCTCCTGACTCAGCCTTCCAAGTAGCTGGGATTGCAGGCATCCACCACCATGCCTGGCTAATTTTTTTGTATTTTTAGAAGAGACGGGATTTTGTCATGTTGGCCAGGCTGGTTTCAAACTCCTGACCTCAAATGATCTGCCCGTCTCGGCCTCCCAAAGTGCTGGGATTACAGGCGTGAGCCACTACGCCCAGCTTCTTCTCCTATGTCTTTTGATAACTTTAGTTAGTTATATCATTTCTTCATGTATGGATTTGGTATCATTTGTGTTTTGTTCTATAATCATAAGCCATAACTTTGTTTTAGTCTTTATACTATATGGACTCAATTCTCACATCTGGCTTTTTGTCAGTTTCTCAATTCATAACTTGGTTAACAGAAGTTCATCCTTTGGTGACCTGTTCCAAGAAGACTCACGTGAATGTTGTCTTCTGAGTTCTCACATGTTATGTGGCCTTCATGCTTAAGTGACTGTTTTGCTTGGAGGTAATGCAGTGGTTCAGATGCAGCTCTGGAGCGTGGGCTCTGAACTCATTCTGCTGAGGTTTGAAACTGGCCACAATCCCTTAGCACACAGACAATTTACTTAACCTCTCTGTGCTTGTTTTCTTGCTTGTAAAACGGGAATGATTATAGCACCTTCCTCAAAAAGTGGTTTTGTGGACTCAAAGAGTGAATAGATGTGGAATGCTAATAATAGTACCAGACACAGAGAGATTATTCAATGGAAGCTACCACTGTCTCTTACAAAATTTTTAGATCCACCATAACAGTGCCTTAGTCTTTTTGTGTTGCTGTAAAGGAATACCTGAGGCTGGGTAATTTATAAAGAAAAGTGGTTTATCTGGCTCACAGTTCTGCTGGCTGTACAAGGGGCATGGAGCTAGCATCAGCTTCTGGGGAGGGCTTCAGGCTGCTTCCACTCATGACAGAAAGCAAATGGGAGCTGGTGTGTCACATGGCGTGAGAGAGCAAGAGAGAGAGGAGGGAGGTGCCAGGTTATTTTCAACAATCAATTCTCCCAGGAACTAAGAGTGAGAACTCACTCTCTCTGAGAATGGCACCAAGCCATTCATGAGGGATCTGCCTTCAGGACCTAAAGACCTCCCACCACACCCACCTCCACCGTTGGGGATCAGATTTCAACATGAGATTTGGAAGGAATAAATATCCAAAGTATATTAAGTAGCAAATATGTACATTGATCTTTCACAGAGGATTTTGTAACCATAATTTCATCAACTTCTCACATTATATAATTCTGAAGAAAATTCTGAGGTCAAGCTAACACTTTCCTTTTATATGTAACTTTATTTCTTTATCTATTTTTTATTGGATTACCCAACAGATTCTTTATCTTCAAATTTTGATAACTTTACCATAATATATATCTTTTTAAAAATCACTATTTTATTTTAAGGTAGAGTACTTGTAGAGAAAAATGCATGAAACATATATACACAGCTTAATAAATTTTTATAAAACAAATACTCTTGTAATCATGAGCCAGGTAAACATACAGAATGTTTTCATTCAGAAGCCCTCTGAGTGTCCTTCCTAATCACAACATTCTCAGAATAAATTGCCCCTTCAGAATTGATAAACACACCAAGGGAAAATCAAATCTCAAAATCTAAAATGAATAATTCTTCACAATCATGTGAAGGTGGTCAGATACCTTCAAGCACATATTTTGGTTTATTTGTTTTTTTGAATACAGCTTTATTGATGTATAATTCACATGCCATACAATTCAGCCATTTAACATGTATATTTCCCAATCCAATAAAAATATTTGTCCTCTTTCGAGCCTTTTCAGACTTGCTTAAAGATGTGCCCTGCTTTCCCCAGATAGATTGATTAAGTAATAAGCTTTTTCAGAACCTTGTGTTGTTTGTGTGATGTCACTAGTGTTGACATCCAAACCAAATTTTAGATGGGGCTTCATGCTACCAGTACTGGATATCTACATGTTGTTGCCCAAGACTTCTCTTTCCTTGTTAATCTTCTGCCTAGTTGTTTGATCCATTATTGAAAGTCAGGATATTAAAGTCTCTAACTATTGTTGTTGAATTATTAACTTATCCCTTTAATTCTGTCAGCTTTTGTTATTTACGTTTTGAGGTTCTGTTGTTGGGTGCATATAGGTTTATAACTATTTTATCTTCTTAATGAACTGACCCTTTAATCATTATAAAACGCTTTTCTTTTTCTTAGTAAAAACTGTTGTATCAAAGTCTATTTTGTCTGATATTAGTACAAATAAATAATAATAGCTGCCCACAAAACACTCTAACTCTCTTGGTTTGCTTCTTCTACCCTTTTACTTTCCACCTGTTTATATCCTTGAATCTAAAGTGTGTCTTTTCTAGCATTTGATCATGTTTTTAAATTCATCCTGGCAAACTTTGCCTTTTGATTTTAGTGTTTAACCCATTTTCATTTAGTGTAATTGCTGATAAGGTGAACTTACATCTGCCATTTGGATACTTGTTTTTATATGTCATGTGTGTTTTTGTTTTTCTCTTCCTCCATTACTGCCTCCTCTATTGTTAAGTGGATATTTTCTAGTTCATTCTTGTGTTTCCTTTACTGTATTTTAAAATTTAGTTTCTAGGCTGGGCATAATGGCTCATGCCTGTAATCCCAGTACTTTGTGAGGCCAAGATTGGTGGATGGTTTGAGCCCAGGGGATTGAAACCAGTCTGGGCAACCTAGTGAGATCTTGTCTCTACAAAAAATATAAAAATTATAAAAATTAGCTGGGCGTGGGAGCACACGCCTGTAGTCTCAGCTATTTGGGAGGTTGAGTGGGGGAGGATCACTATAGCCTGGGAGGTTGAGGCTGCACGAGCCATAATTGCACCACTTCACTCCAGCCTGGGTGATGGAGTGAGACCCTGTCACAAAAGAATAAATAAAAGAAAAATAAAATGAAATTTAATATTTTAGTGATTGCCCTAGAGATTACAATTAGCATCTTAAAACAATCTAATTCAGATTAATATTAGCTTCATTTCAATATTATATAAAAACT